>NW_025791779.1:151242-302485 GCF_000001405.40 Homo sapiens
AAAGGTTGATGAGTATGGTCTACCTATGTGGGGTGGACTTTGCATAGGCCTGGGCTTAAGCTGGACTCAACTGTGAGACCAGAAGGTAGATGCAGTATTTTGTTAAAATTATTTATTTATTTGTTCACTGAGACAGAGTCTCACTCTGTTGCCCAGGCTGGAGTGCAGTGGCGCAATCTCGGTTCACTGCAACCTCTGCCTCCATGAAAATAGATGTTTTCTTGCCTCAGTCACCCGAGTAGCTGGGATTATAGGCGTGCGCCACTGTGCCCGGCTGATTTTTGTATTTTTAGTAGAGACAGGGTTTCACCTTGTTGACCAGGCTGGTCTCAAACTCCTGGCCTCAAGAGATCTGCTCACTTCAGCCTCCCAAAATGCTGGGATTACAGGCTTGAGCCACCATGTCCAGCCTTGGATACAGTATTGAATAGCATGTAAGAACATTAACTTTGAAGTCATTCACTTGGGTTATAATCTACATAGAAGCACTGGGGCCTTGGGCAAATCTTATAAATTCTCTGAGCTCCTGAATGGTAATCTGTAAAATGAGACCAAGTATATATAGACCAAGTACATTGTTTGAAAGCATTAAATTAAATATAAATGAACCCATACATGCAAGGTGTCCAATAAGTACCTCTCTGATAATAGATATTCTTTTGTGCATTTCTACATTTCCTCTTCCATCACATGTCTACTAGTTTGTAGAAGATCCCCTATAGAGATCATACTTTATCTTAGTGTTGTATGTCCAGGCCTTTGTTCAATGCCTAAGATGTAATGTGACCTCAAGAAATATCTTCCAAATGAATAAATGCATGAATGAACCATTTTGTAAGTAGAAATGTTGGGAGGTTAATGGTATAATGAGAACAGCCAGAAACTAATATTAAATAGGCATCTGCAGTCAGTGTGGGTGTGGGGTCTAAGTCTCTCTGAAGCAGTAGTTAAAGAGGGGGACACTAGAGTATGTAGAAAGGTAGATGCCAATTTGATGGTAGATTTCACATTTTCTTATGAAACAAGGACAAACACCCCAGATTCCCAATTTTACCCGTCTACTCTTCTCCAACCTAGAACTCAGGAAGAAGGAGACTGAAAGAAAGATGTATAGCCTGCGAGAAAGAAAGGGTCATGCATACAAAGAGGTCAGCGAGCCGCAGGATGATGATTACCTCTGTAAGTGACACTTTTGGCCACTCACACAGCTTGCTGTTATGTCCTGGTGCAATAATTTCATCATTTGGCCCACAAATCATTCCCTTACTCTAATGAATTAGAGTACAGGATTAGGGCTAAATAATGTGAATGCCAAGCTCTTTCTGAAGCTCTTATATCAAGGAACATGCATTACAACTTTCCTAATCTCTGCTTCCCTCACTTCCAGATTGTGAGATGTGTCAGAACTTCTTCATTGACAGCTGTGCTGCCCATGGGCCCCCTACATTTGTAAAGGACAGTGCAGTGGACAAGGGGCACCCCAACCGTTCAGCCCTCAGTCTGCCCCCAGGGCTGAGAATTGGGCCATCAGGCATCCCTCAGGCTGGGCTTGGAGTATGGAATGAGGCATCTGATCTGCCGCTGGGTCTGCACTTTGGCCCTTATGAGGGCCGAATTACAGAAGACGAAGAGGCAGCCAACAATGGATACTCCTGGCTGGTAAGAAGAGCCTGCCATTTCCCCTGTTCTGTCTTCCCACATCCCTTCTGTGCCTTTGGTGGGGCATAATCTTCTACATGTTAGTATATAGGTAAGGATAACATGGTTAGCTCTGTGTACTCAAGGTTCTTTGCATGAACACGGAACTCCTATTTAGAGATCAGAGGTTACATGGGAGCAGAGTGGTACAAAGACAAAGAAGTGCATCCTCCCTGTGGAGCTTCTGCTCTGATTGGACAAACCAACTCAGATGTGTAGATAGATGATGACTAAGGTGCATACCATGTGGTCTCAATTGGCAGCTGAAGCTATGCAGGCCCAAAGGCCATTGACGACAGTGGAGTAAAATAATTTTTCTGATTTTTACCCTCTAAAAAGCCTTTGCCTTGTTTTTCTGAAACTCAGATCACCAAGGGGAGAAACTGCTATGAGTATGTGGATGGAAAAGATAAATCCTGGGCCAACTGGATGAGGTAAGGCCAGTAGCTCTCTGAGTTGCAGAGAGAACCTTCATCTCTCACAAAGCTGGATTTCCTTCCTTATCATTATGCCTCCCTCAATGATTTTCACATTCCCTATTTCTATTTTTCTCCATACAATGCTGTTTTATACCATCAACATTTAGAAATAATAAATAAAAATATAGATATTATGATTTATTGGTATCAAAACATAAATATGTATGCTAGACAAAATTGAGGCACCAAGATAAACCTTGAGAAGCCTAGATTCACGGGGGACTCTGAATTCATGCTTTAATTTATGTAATCCACGTTTATTAAGCACTTTGTATGTTCCAGGTTAGGAAGTGAGGTTCACTACTTGAACAGAAGTGAGCTGCAGGATGACTCAGCCCCTTTCCACAATGGGCTCTCGTTCTATCAGAGAATAGAAAAATGAATCAACTATTACTGTTCTATGTTATTGGGCCAAGAGAAAGAGACTTCTAAGTTTCTCTGGGAATCTGGGGAAGTCAGGTGAATGGCACCTGAATGAACTGTAGGGTGATTAGAGGAAGGTCTGTCAAAGAAAGATGGACTTGGGCTGAGTGTAGAATGATGTGCACTAATCTAGAAGCAGAGTACATGATCAAGCACCAAGTTCTGTGGTATAAAACAGAATTAATTTAGAGTTTAGAGAAGCTAGAAGTCAATGTGTTTTATGGCCAGTCAAGGTGGAGGTAAGTCTGGAGTTGGGCTTTGAAAAAATGGTTGATTAGGCATGGCAGGGAAACATTCTAGGCAGGATGAACACTGTAGTCAGAAGTGCAAGTTCATATGACATTGTGAAAGAGATTTAGGAATGAGCAGAAGGTTCCCGGAGGAGTGGTGGGGGAGTGGTCAGCACTAGACCATGGAGGCCTAGACCAGCAGGTGATGGGCCATACCTGGATCTGATACTGGGAACTCACTGCCTCTTTTCTTTCCCTTTGCCTGCCTTGACCCCAGGTATGTGAACTGTGCCCGGGATGATGAAGAGCAGAACCTGGTGGCCTTCCAGTACCACAGGCAGATCTTCTATAGAACCTGCCGAGTCATTAGGCCAGGCTGTGAACTGCTGGTCTGGTATGGGGATGAATACGGCCAGGAACTGGGCATCAAGTGGGGCAGCAAGTGGAAGAAAGAGCTCATGGCAGGGAGAGGTAGGCATCACTATTACTCTTTTAAAAGGACAGGAAAGAAAGAATTATCCTAGAGAATTTTCATGGTTTAACTCTTAAGTACAGTAAAATGCCATCTAAAGTCAGTAAGATTTCAAATCAGTGGCTTCCAAAATTAAACATTCATGTTATATACCTTTGCCTCTTTGGAACAATTTTCATATTTTTAAATCTTTGTTCTGATTTTATATTCTAAGTACTTCATGCACAAAGTATATAACAGCATATAGTGCTGAAAGACTTAAAGACAAAAATCAAGTTCTCAAACACCTACCAGCTCTCCCAACAAGGTAGTTTCTTCTGGCATTTCCTTGATATTTCCTAATGATATGCATGTGTTGTTATTCATTCATTAATTACCTCAATTAGCTGTCATGTGAATTCCTACTCAGTGCCAGACCATGTTGCAGGAAGTGTAAATATAGATTGATCAAGACAATCAGAAAAACTGCTCTTGACATGTGAATTAGGGAACCATATGATTACATACAGACATATGTGTAATATCAGACAGTGATTAGTGCTTTGAAGTAAATGAATCCAGAAAGAATACCTGGGGATCCGTGTGAGGTGAGAGTAGAGTGTTGCAGGGGATTGTCAGGGAAGATTTCTCTTAGGAGACAGCATTTGAGAAGTGCAAGTGCCTGTGGGCCAAGGGTTCCAGGCACAGGGCGCAGCTAGTGCAATGGTCCTACGGCCAGAAAGAATTCAGCTTTGGTTCATTTTTGGAAAACAGTCTCCAGTGGGTCATCCCCTCAGAGCTGCTCCAGTTTCCAGATGAGAGAGAATGGTGGGCAGGATGAAGGTGGGGAGCACGGAGGTAAGTCTGAGTAGGGATATATTTTGACACAAGACTTCCTATTGTATTTGAAATGGGCTCAGACTGAATGAAATATCTCAAAAATGAATACTTGATGGGCAGCCTGAGAGAGAACATATTCTCATTTTATGATTTGTGGAATCTGAAATGGAATCTATGCACCTAGTTGGGGTAGCAGGACCCAGAGTCCTTTAGTCAGTGGGACCTGGACCACTCTGTGTTGGCCAACCTGAATCCCACTTCCTGATGGAGAACCAGGCACATAACAGTCCTCAATTAAATATGTCCTTTTGAATGAGGAGACTCAAATTCAGATTTGCTCACACATCTTCTCTTTAACCACATTTGTGGATCTCCAGCCTGAGTGCTCTTAATAGATCCTTTTCCCCTCTTAGGAAATCACTAAGGACAATCTCACCTAAGTCATCAAGAGTGTTATTTCTCAATAGAATAAAATAGCTGAAGGTCTCATGTCAGCAAAAGTGCCCAGGGACCAGGGAGGGAGGATGTGGCAGAGGGTGATCAGGGAAGGCTTTATAGGACTTGGAAAATACCTGCAGTGTGGGGAAAAGGTCACTGCAGTTCCATCTATGTAAGGAATGACACTGCCCTGATGCTGGTTGAGGTTACCTAGTCTGGCAGATATGTAGAAAAGGACCAAGATGTGGGATTTCTGGATTTTTTAAGATGTAGTGAATAAAAGTGGAATGGAAAAATGGACTGTAAAGGTCCATCCAGCACTTGGTGGGAAAGAGCTTGCATTGTTAACATATGAAGAATGATTGTTTCTTCATTTGATCTTCATACCTTCATATGTGGTAAGGCCTGAACAAAACATCTACCCTGACCAAAAACTTCCTCTTTCAGAACCAAAGCCAGAGATCCATCCATGTCCCTCATGCTGTCTGGCCTTTTCAAGTCAGAAATTTCTCAGTCAACATGTAGAACGCAATCACTCCTCTCAGAACTTCCCAGGACCATCTGCAAGAAAACTCCTCCAACCAGAGAATCCCTGCCCAGGGGATCAGAATCAGGAGCAGCAATATCCAGATCCACACAGCCGTAATGACAAAACCAAAGGTCAAGAGATCAAAGAAAGGTCCAAACTCTTGAATAAAAGGACATGGCAGAGGGAGATTTCAAGGGCCTTTTCTAGCCCACCCAAAGGACAAATGGGGAGCTGTAGAGTGGGAAAAAGAATAATGGAAGAAGAGTCCAGAACAGGCCAGAAAGTGAATCCAGGGAACACAGGCAAATTATTTGTGGGGGTAGGAATCTCAAGAATTGCAAAAGTCAAGTATGGAGAGTGTGGACAAGGTTTCAGTGTTAAATCAGATGTTATTACACACCAAAGGACACATACAGGGGAGAAGCTCTACGTCTGCAGGGAGTGTGGGCGGGGCTTTAGCTGGAAGTCACACCTCCTCATTCACCAGAGGATACACACAGGGGAGAAGCCCTATGTCTGCAGGGAGTGTGGGCGGGGCTTTAGCTGGCAGTCAGTCCTCCTCACTCACCAGAGGACACACACAGGGGAGAAGCCCTATGTCTGCAGGGAGTGTGGGCGGGGCTTTAGCCGGCAGTCAGTCCTCCTCACTCACCAGAGGAGACACACAGGGGAGAAGCCCTATGTCTGCAGGGAGTGTGGGCGGGGCTTTAGCCGGCAGTCAGTCCTCCTCACTCACCAGAGGAGACACACAGGGGAGAAGCCCTATGTCTGCAGGGAGTGTGGGCGGGGCTTTAGCTGGCAGTCAGTCCTCCTCAGTCACCAGAGGACACACACAGGGGAGAAGCCCTATGTCTGCAGGGAGTGTGGGCGGGGCTTTAGCTGGCAGTCAGTCCTCCTCACTCACCAGAGGACACACACAGGGGAGAAGCCCTATGTCTGCAGGGAGTGTGGGCGGGGCTTTAGCAATAAGTCACACCTCCTCAGACACCAGAGGACACACACAGGGGAGAAGCCCTATGTCTGCAGGGAGTGTGGGCGGGGCTTTCGCGATAAGTCACACCTCCTCAGACACCAGAGGACACACACAGGGGAGAAGCCCTATGTCTGCAGGGAGTGTGGGCGGGGCTTTAGAGATAAGTCAAACCTCCTCAGTCACCAGAGGACACACACAGGGGAGAAGCCCTATGTCTGCAGGGAGTGTGGGCGGGGCTTTAGCAATAAGTCACACCTCCTCAGACACCAGAGGACACACACAGGGGAGAAGCCCTATGTCTGCAGGGAGTGTGGGCGGGGCTTTCGCAATAAGTCACACCTCCTCAGACACCAGAGGACACACACAGGGGAGAAGCCCTACGTCTGCAGGGAGTGTGGGCGGGGCTTTAGCGATAGGTCAAGCCTCTGCTATCACCAGAGGACACACACAGGGGAGAAGCCCTACGTCTGCAGGGAGGATGAGTAAGTCATTAGTAATAAAACCTCATCTCAATAGCCACAAGAAGACAAATGTGGTCACCACACACTTGCACACCCCAGCTGTGAGGTGGCTTCAGCGGAAGTCTGCTGACCCCTTATATTCCCCGAGAGTATAAAGAGATCGGAAATAACTGATTAAACAAATCCGCCACTTTCATGACTAGAGATGAGGAAGAACAAGGGATAGTTCTGTAAGTGTTCGGGGGACATCAGCATGTGTGGTTCTTTCCCGCACTGATCCCCTCCATTTTTTGTTTGTTTTTTTGCCTCCTGTTCTAATAAATTTTGTCTCCATACAAATCTGAACCCCAAGTGTGTACCTCATTCTTCCCTTATCACTGAAGGCAAGAAGAGTCCAGAAGGGCCACAGAGAACTCATGTGTTCAGCTCAAGACTCCACAGGAATTCAACCCCCAGAAAGACATAAACTTGGAGTCCGTCTGGTTTAATTATTGGAGAATCGATTCCCAAGTCCAGGAAGAGAAATGTAAGATTCTAGAAAGTCGCAGCAGGAAAGGGAGTTCCCTGGTCTCCTGGGAAGTGTGGCTTCTTCTCCTAATGGACACCTCTCCTCTGCTGCCATACTCTCCCTTGGCTCCCCAGTCTCCTCTCCTGATCTCCTCCAATCTCTGTAGCCCAAGATGTGAAAGCCAGACAAGAACACGCGTGTGTGTATATATGTGTTCGGGTGTGGGGGTATGTGCCCTCCGTGTAGGTAACTGTGTGAGTGTGGGGGGTTTCAAGGGTGTGTTAGGAACAACGCTCAAAATCCTAAGGAAACTGAACACTCGAACGAAGGATTCTTAGCAAAGCAATTTTACTTCTGTGCAGAGGGGTGCCTCCTTGGCCGGTCGCCATGAGAGCACACCTGAACAAAGAGGCAGGAGAGCCTTTATTCCTGACACAAGTCCTGCCCCTGTACCTTTTTCCACTGGCTGGGGTCGGGTCGTACAATCTAAACTAATCCCAGTTGGCTAAAGATTTGATTTTTTTAGATAAGGTGGGCAAGTAAAAAAAAAAAAAATGGAGACGAAGGGGAAGGGGTGTCTGTAATGAGCTAGGAAGTTAGTCCTCTTTCCAAATAAGGAAAGGAATGTGAGCTGGTGGTACTGATAACGCCTAGTACTGTGGTGTGCCTGGGCATCTAACAAAGGCAGAAAGGAAAACAGAAGAAAAAGGAGAAAGGAGGGGAGGTACTATGAATTAAAGAATAAAAGATTGATCAGATTATTTGAAGAGAAACCTCATCATATCCCACAGGTGTGTGTGCATGTGTGTGTATCTGCACACGTATGTGCATGTACTTGTGTGTGCATGTGTGTGTCCAGTTGAGGGCACCAATCAGAGAAGGAATGCCCCTGCTTCTTCCAGGGGAATCCTAGATCCTCATTCTCTTTCTACAGAGCAATAAAAATGTAAAAACAAACACCTTACTCTTTTTTTAACAAAAGATTATGAAAATAAATAAAGGGATAGATTTTTTTTTTAAATTAAGATCCACACTGTCTGTCAAGACCCAGCCAAGCTCGAGGAGGGCAGACAGACCATCCCAGCAGGCCTAGGAAGAAGCTTTCCTGTCTTCCTGGAAGGGCTTCGGAATCAAGCCTCCGTATACCTCCCAGCAGACACATGACTGAAAGGTGCTGAAGTTTCCCTCAGAAGAAAGTTGAACAGGGGTGGTGCAGAGAAGAAGGAAGTACCCCAGATATATGGGCCATCAGCTTTGCTGCCGTGAACAAGCTCAGCCTTTGATTCTGAATCTGATTCTTGAGGTGAGAGAAGGGCTCTCAGACCAAAATGTCCCCAGGGCATGTAGAGTCAAGAGGGGAAATGGAGTGATCAAAATCGAGTCAGTTCCCCGCTTTGAACAATCTAAGTCCCTTTTCTCATTCAGTTAAAGCCAGCAGAATCCTCAGTTGGGACTTGGTAGTAGGGGGTATCTGCTAGATGGTACTAGCCATCAGGCATTTAATGAGGGGACATTTCTATGAAAATAAACAAAAACAAAGGCTAATAGTTGGAAACTCAGTTTCTGAGTCCACAGGGCAGTCAGTGGAGAGGATTTCTAGATGACTTTAAACAATTGCCCCCAGGCGTAGGTGTAGAGATCATGATTGAAGTCCCACACTTATTTCACTCTGGGCCCGATAAAATTTGCACACCTCATAGCTCAGACTGCTCTGAGCTATTTTTCTTTTCTTATCTTATTTTACAATCTAGAACATGTAAAGGATTGTCCTACATATCAGCTAGTTCAGAGGCATTTCAAGTGAAGCAGCTTCAGATCTATATTTAACTATCATTATAGTTAGCCTTTTCTGTTCCACTGCAGTGATCTAAGCCATGACTATGTTCCCGGACCAAACCGAGGGTCGGGCTGCTTGTTCTCACGGCCCAATAACGAGATGCAGACGAACGGAGAGAGAATGGGGAAAAGCTTAAAAGCCTTTCCTCTGAGAAATGAAGCAAGATTAGGATACCTAATATCACAACAGTTATTCAGCACGGTACTGAAAATTTTAGACAAAGCAATTAGGCAATATAAATAAATAAATGGCATACATATCGAAAAATAAGAAGTCAAATTATTTCTATTTGCATATGATATAATCTTATATACATAGAAAAGCCTAAAGACTCTACCAAAAAACAACAAAAAAATCCTCTTAAAACTGAGAAATAAATTCAGTAAAATCGCAGGATACAGTATCAGTACACACAAATCATCAGTACTCCTATATTCCAATAACAAACTACCAGAAAAATAAATAAAAAAAGTGATCCCATTTATAGTAGCTATGAAAAAAATACTTAGGAATAAATTGAACTGAGGAGGTGAATGAAAATCTCTACAATAAAACTCAAAACCACCAATGAAAAAAATTGAAGAGAACCCCTAAAATAAACAGGCATATCATGCTTATGAATTGGAAGAATTACATTGTTAAGATAATCATACTACACAAAGCAATCTACAAGGTCAGCAGAATCTCTCTTAAAATACCAATGACATTCCTCACAGAGGTAGAAAAAAATAGCCCTAAAATTTATATGGAATCAAAAAAGACTCAGAATAGACAAAGCAATCCTGAGCAAAATAGCAAAGCAGGACACATTACACTACTTCACCTCAAAATATATACAAATCTATCTTAACCAAAACAGCATGGTATTGGTATGCAAACAGATGCACAGACCAATGAAACAGAGCAGAGTACCCAGAAATAAATTCAGGTATTTAGAGGCAATTGATTTTTGACAAATTTGCCAAAAGTATGCATTGAGAAAAAGACATTCTTCAATAAATTATGTGGGCAAAACTAAACATCAATATGCAGAAGAATAAACTAACTTCTTATCTCTCACTGTATACATAAATCAACTCAAAATGAATTAAATACTTAAATTTATGACCTGAAACTATAAAAATACTTCCATAGGGGAAATGCTTCAGGACATCAGTCTAGGCAAATATTTCATGCATAAGTCTTTGAAAGTACAAACAACAGAAACACAAATAGACAAATGGGATTATATCAAACTTAAAGCATTCTGCACAGCAAAGGAAGCAGCCAACAGAATGAAGAGACAATCTGCAGAATAGGAGAAGATATTTGTAAATTATTATTCCTCTGACAATGGATTTCTGTTCAGAATATACTAGGAACTCAAACAACTCAACATCAAAAAAAATTGATTACAAAATGGGCAAAGAATATAAATAGACATTTCTCATAGAAAGACATACAAATGACCAATAAACAGATGAAGAAAAAATTCAACATCACTAATCATCAGGGAAATGCAAATCAAAATCAAAATGAGATTCTACCTCTCATCCCAGTTAGAATGATTATTAAGAACATGAAAACTAGCAAATGCTGGCAAGGATGTGGAGTAAAGGTGGTTGTTATACATTGTTAGTGGACATAGAAATTAATACATTCATTATAGAAACAGTATGGAGTTCTCTCAAACTAAAAATAGAACTGCCGAAAGACTCAGGTTCCCACTATTTTGTATTTATTCAAAAGAAAAGAAATCAGTATATCAAATATATGCCTGTACCCTCCATATTTATTGCGGCACTATTCACAATAGCTAAGATACAAAATATACCTAAATGCCCATCAACAGATAATTGTATAAAGAAAATGTGATTATATATAATGAAATATTATTGAGCTATAAAAAATGAAATCTTGTCATTCCCAGAAACATGGATAAGCATGTAGGACACTATGTTAAGTGAAATAAGTCAAGGTACAGCAAGATAAATACCACATATTTTCACTTATATGTTGGAGCTAAAAAAATAGCTGAGCTCAGAAATAGAGAGCAGAAAAAATATTACTAGAAGCTAGAAAGGTCTTAGGGAGAAGAAAATAGAGAGAGGTTAGTTAACGGATACAACATTATAGCTAGATAAGAATACTCTCTAGTACACTATAGCACTGTAGGGTGTATATAGTTAACAATAATTTTCAAAAAGCTGGAAAAAAGGATTTTGAATGTTCCCAACACAAAGAAATAATAAACATTTGAGATGTATGCATTGTGTACATGTATTGAATTATCCTTTTATATTCCATAAATATGTACAATTATTAAATGTAAACTAAAAATAAAAGGGAAGAAAAGAAATCTATAAACTTGGAACATCCATAGGGTAGATCTCATCTATATCCTTCATCCATAATCAAGTTTTTTATAGAGGAGAACTCCAGAGAACTTCCTTCATTTATCTCTACATTTTCGGATTATGCTTTTCTCCTTTCGTTAAAAATCACGTCTACGATACTTTATAAGTTGTCCTAAAATAAATTCTTTCTCTATGTTCAATCAAAAAAGAAAAGATTTGACTTAATAGTAGGTATAAGAGGTAGAGAAAGTTAATAGAAAACAAAGGAAGATTTTTATTAACCTACTCAACAAATCCATATATTTAAATTAGACATCCTATCTGTAAAGGGGCAGAATATTTAATGACCATCACTTAAATTCATTATCGGTGAAATATTACTTAACTAGCACATTTTCATCAAAAAATTCTCTGAGTGAGCATTGTGCTTCCGCCTTAGATATATGACATGATAATTTCCCTTTTTTTGTAAGACATTTTATACTACTTTTATATTATCCAACCACCTTCTACAGAAAAAAAGATACGTGACTAAAGTCTATACTTTGTCTGATAGCATTATTACCAACTTAAAATTGTCTAGTATTAAAATTTTAGAGAGATGAGCTTATTCCTGCAAGAATGGCTATAATGAAAAAAAATAAAAAATAATAGATGTTGGCATGGATGCAGTGAAAAGGGAACACTTCTAGACTGCTGGTGGGAATATAAACTAGTACAACCACTACGGAAAAGAGTGTGGAGACTCCTTAAAGAAGAGACTTTCAAATTTGCTTAATTAAAAATCCTCATTTTAATAGTGAGCAAAAAGAAATCAAGCAAGACTAAATTATTTTCCTTAGCTTCTCATTCACAGAGTTAATATGTACATAGATCTAATTCCCACTCCAATTTTTCCTTTCCTTGTTCACTGTCATTAATTTGTCCTAAATTTTGTAGTGGTTTACAGATGTCAAAGACTGTCTCTGATGTGGGTCCAAAGAGCAAACTAGTCACTGTCTTACGGTGCTTTTATTCTGGTGGAGATAGAGATTAATATAAATTAATAACTTCTTACAGTGATAATTTCTATGAGAAAAAATTAATATACTAATGTGAGAAAGCTGAATGAGAGACCTAAGCTGAGGGATGTACTTTATAATGGGAGTCAGGAGTTGAGGCCAAGTGACAAGAAACAGCCATGCTGTGAAAATCTGGGAAAAGAATGTTCGATGTAGATACAAGACGTTGTACAAAGTCCCCGGGGTAGAAAAAAGTCTCTCCTGATCAAGGGTTAGAAAGTGAATGTAAGCAAAGTACATCTAACAAACATGTGGTGTAGGCTAATGAGGAGTCTGAGCCCAGAGACCCCTGCACACTTCAATACAGAGCTTCGACTTTATTGAAAGAATCCCTTTGGATCCTGTCTGGAGAATGGACTGATGGGTGACAAAAATGAAAACAAGAAGAACAATTAAAAGGCTATTATTCCTTCCTTAATCAGACAATAAATTACTTTTTTAGAAATGTAAACTCGTAAAAATTAAGGAAAAAAGAATAAACAAACGTAAGAAAATTCTGTCAAAATTATTGATTTTCTTCTTAAATCATGTATTTACTAAGTACTATATTTTGAATATCTCTGAACAAGTTGTGACAAGTAAACAAAATGAAGGACTTATTATAATTTACAAATCCGGGGAAAAGCAAAATTGTTTAAATAGTGAAGAGGACATGTATCTCAGAACATATTTAAATCTATCTACAAAAAAGGATAATGAATTTGAATGTTATGTGTCAGAATTCATTTTTAAATTGTAAGCTGTATTTCAAGTATCATACATATAATTTGTGGTTATTACTTATTTTGTAAGCTTACCATTTATTTTTAGAATGCTAAACATGTAGTGTTTTGTTACATACAAAAGAATGTTACTCAATAGGACTTTGTGAAATTCAATGTGAGTTTCTATGCTAGCTAAACTCTACCTATTATTTTTTTCTATCATGGACTGCTGTCCTTAAAAGTTGTGTAATTTTTTTATCATGACTATTATGCCCTGCCTTAATGTAATTAGTAATATTGCTGTTAGTTTTCAATTTGGCAGTTTATAGGGTACATAATATAAGTTATAAAATTTCAAAACTTCAAATAATGACCAAAGCGGAGAAAGCTTTTATTTCAAAAAATGATGCTATTCTAGAACACTTGCTACTCAGGTATAATTTTGAATTACTGCTTAATTCTATTACAATAATAAATGTAATTTATCTATGATAATTCATGAAAGGAACTAGTTAAGCTTGCATTCTTTATTTCTACTAATAATACCTGATATACAGAAAATTTTCGGGTACTCTAAAAATCACTCATCATTTGTAGGAGTAGAAACCCAGAGTTCAAAATTTTAGGTACTTCATTGACTTGAAAGTTCAAAAGGATGTCCAAGTAATAGCCTCTTAAATTTTCCTGAGGCACATCAGAAATTTAGCCCTTAATTATTTTCTATTCAACTACTTTGCAAAAAGTTGTTTCAAAGTGAAAGTTGTTAATTTCTTCTAATACAGTTCTAACCAAATTATTATATGCTATATAAGAGAAATGTCACAAAATGCCCAGCTTAATGAAGATACTCATATTTCTAAAAGTGATCAATTTAATCAATTTTATCTTGTTTAAATCATATGAATGTATAGGCAGGAGAGAGATAGATAACTAGAGTTATCTAATTCTGGTTAGCTAATAATAATCATGTAACCAAATAGTCAAGAATTCTAAATGTATTAATTTTATCATTATGTAAATACATTTTCTGGTTGTCACAATCATTAAAAGAATAAATTTTTCTTCTTTGAATGCAAGATAAAGACTTGCATAAAAAAAATGTATTGCATTTTTTTCCCTGCCCCTCTTCTACTTATGATGTTTTATTTATATAAATGGGGTTTTGGGTAAATATTGTCAATGTCAAATTATTGCTTTCTAATATTTATTAGAGAGATTTTCAAAGTTTAACTTTGAAATATAACTTGCTTAAATAATTGTATCATTTTAAACAAAATTTGTTTTTTTCCACTTATTTGTTTTGGCTTGAAATTTATATCATCTGATGTCTATACTTTGAGTGACACAAATTAGCTGCAATTACTAAATGCTTATTATATGCCAAGGATTATACTAAATATCTCATATGCATAATCTCATTTGTTTCGTGGGACAACTCTATGGAATAAGTGTTATTAACTCCATGTTCCAGAAAAGAAAACTGATGTGTACTTAGATTAAATCTATGAATGATTAAATCTGAATTGAAATCTGGAATTACTTGGCACTGGAGTCCAGGCTCTGGGTTCTGCAATGTATGCCATGCTCTAGGTTGTGCTCTGTTTCTCCTGCTGTGCATTTGCTTTTTTATTTCTTTTTGTTCTTGCTCTGTTTCATCCCACCTTCCCACAAACCCATGATACAAACATCTTTGAAAAGGTGTGAAATTGCAATTTAAAGAGAAGCAGATATTACTGAACTCCTACCAGCAGAAAGAATGAGTTGTCCAACAATTTTGTTGGTATGAATTTTTTATGAGCCAGGTTGTAGAAGGAATGAAGGCCAACTTTCAATTACAGAGAATAGATCCTTAGTTTAATGAGATCAAGCATTTTTAGTGGCATTGGTCTTGCTTTTCTTTTTTTGAAGATTCAGCCTAATAGGAATTTATAATTTATAGCAATATCTATCAATCTCTGGAAACCCTTAGTGTTTCATGACTTAGCATTCCATATTTTTGGGAAGTTTAATAATTTTTTATGTCTCCAGAAATATTTTAATATGTCGTGACTGAATGTGTTCTGATATGCAGATATCAGTATAAACCAAAAGTTTTCATTTTTGTTTGCAAATATCTGTACAAGTGAAAGGCAGGCATTTGCCTTAAAATACAAATAATATGTAAGTTTTATTTTCATATATTTTTATACATTTGCTTTCTTTTTCTTGTGACAAGAATGAATTCAAATTAACTATGAGATTTTTAAAATTTTCAGCCTCATCACTCATAGCCTCTTAGTTTTGAAAGACAGTAACCATAAAATAGTGTACTAGAAGTAATTTACTCATTTCGTTCTATTATTTTTAAATTGAAAATAACATTACTAACATATTTAGTAACTTATTTAATCTGCACCTAGTGTTTCTTTCTCTGTCTTCTGCTCCATGGACAAATTCTAAAACATTAATATATTTCAGTCAATTAAAAAAACTTTTCTATTCATCCCCTTCCAAATATAGAATATTACTGCATTGGATTCCTCTTTATTGGTTGTTATGGGTTGAATTTTGTACCCCAAGAAAGATATACTGAAGTCCTAACCCACAGTACCTCAGAATGTAATCTTAGTTGGAAATAGGGGCTTTACAGAAGAAAAATGGCTTCAATTTCTAGTTATCCATCTGTTTCATATTTTATTTCTATTATACAATGTGTTATAGAGACAACATGATAGCTGCTATGAATCCAATCTCTTCAGACTGTAGTAGTCCAGAGCTCATTCTCTTTGTACATCTTTCTGAACTACTAAATTTTATGAAAACACATTACATGTGCTTAATGTACCTAAAGAAAAAAAATCAGTTCTTTTGTGGATTTTGAAGTTTAAAACATATTGTGATAATTGCCATATATAAATAGGTCTTCCCTGTCCTCTGCAAACAAAGAATCACCACCATATATTCAGCAACACCCAACATCAACCACTACCCTCTGAAAAATCTTTTTTAAGACAGTTATGCATATAACCATTAAAATCAGTGTTCTACTTATCTGCTCAAAATCACAATAAAAGTAAAACATAAAAGTTCCAGTTATTTCATTAAAAAACTCTAAAACAGAAAACTGAATTTTAGAAAAAGTATTTTTATGGAAAATAAAACATGGCACATATAATTACACAGGGAACAAATGCTCTGTTTTTGTGATTGGCTCAGAGGAATGAAGCTGCAAATTCAAAATTCTTTCTTCATTCTCACTTAGCATATAGACTACAAAAAAATAGTAAAATGCATGCCTTTACATTTACTGTGATTTTAAAGACATAGGAATTTGTTAGTTGTGTTTTCTGAATTCTCGTTCTCTAAATAAAAACAAATGTTACATTAAAAAAAAATTGTTCCTTCAAAACTTTGGAGTGGAAACTGACTATAATTCCAGGAAGCTGCTTTGTTTATCTATGAAATAAATAATTTGAAATTAAAAGTTCATGTTTAGTAGTGATGAAAATAAATTTTACAAACTACCCAGTTAAGTACTAATAAAGGATACTCAAATTTCTGCATTCTGTTTTACTTGAATATTTATTTGCATATGACTATTTTCCTATCTTTATGAAAAGCTGTTTAATATTTAGTGCATGTCATTCTTATTCATGTTATCATTTAAGTAGCAGCAATTTTGGAAATTAAATATTTTCCAATGTGAGATATTTGTTGAGGTTTTAGCCAAAGTTAGAGATTAATATAATTGTTTTGAGTAATACTATAGATTTATATATAATTAAAGCAGAAATATTATAGTATTACAATGTATAATTATTATTTTTGAATAGAGATAATCTAAGTTGTTACTATTTACTTCTATATTATGTTGATATTTTTAAATTAAATTTTCTTCTAATATACATTGTTTCATATTAGTGTAACAATTTCTCATCTCTGTATTGTTTAAAATATATACATATATTTAAAATATATATAATCACAGCAGAAAACAGTACTCATTTAAGCAACTCAATTTTTTAAAATTGTATTTTAAGTTAAGGGATATATGAGCTTTTTGTTATATAGGTAAACTCGTGTCATGGGGGTTTGTTATACAGATTATTCCATCACCCAGTTATTAAGCCCAGTACCTAATAATTATCATTTCTGCTCCTCTCCCTCCTCCCACTCTTCCCCACTGAAGTAGACCCTAGTGTCTCTAATTTCCTTCTTTGTGTTTGTAAGTTCTCAACATTTAGCTCCCAGTTACAAGTGAGGACATGTGGTATTTGGTTTTCTCTTCCTGTGTTAGTTTGCTAAGGATAATGACCTCCAGCATCATTTATGTCCCTGAAAATTTTAATGAAAGTTCAGATTTACAAAAATAGAAAAGAAGAACATACAGAACTACTGAATCTTAGGTTCCTGAATTAGTATCTAAAACACAGATTAGATAAACATAAAGTCAACAGAAAATTTTTCCCCACTTCACCATGAAAAAATTATCTTATACTTGCCACCGCTCCCCACAGCATCTTCCTGTCTCTTCTTTTTGTGCCAATAAGATGACCCCAGAAAATCATGTTAAGTTACTCCATCTTGTCCCCAGGAGGACACTTAGAATCTTGAAGCCAGAAGTCCTTCCACAATAGGTCTTAACATTCTAATATTATCTCTCTATAATTTAAAATAGCAAACATATGTGTTATAGCTGCTGCAAAGTAAGAAAAAATATTGAAATGTGTGTTACTGAACATTAATAATTTAAAAAATAGTTTAACATTTTCATTTTGTTAGATAGATTTGTGTTTGTCTCTTGTGATTTTGGATTTTCCCTCCAAAAAGCTTTGTTCTTCTGCATGTAGTTGTTTATGAATTTGACAAGGCTACTGGGAGTAAGAGCATAAATTTCAGGGTTATCTGTAAGTTACTTAAGACATCAGAGAACCCCACCACTTGTATATACTGAGGAAGTGTGAAATATTCAGGAATTTGCAGAGACATTAAGCATGCAATCACAAAATAAAGTCAATAATTTTGAAGTCGGATTAGTTGATAATGGTTCTTCAACAAAGAAACTGTTTCATTCATTATTTCATGTCACATTTAGGATCAATATGGAACAACTATTAAATGAACCAAATTAAATATGTCAAAAGTGTACTAGAAAATGTTGAAACAATTATGATACTACCCCTAAAAACCATGCATGTGTCATGACACACTTGGCTTATAACTTCCAAGGATGACTCCCAATGAAGAGTGCATAAAGTTTAATGAGAAACTACACTAGAAAGCACAAAATCATGAAAGAAAAAATTTCATCTCAAGCACCATTCACACCACAGAACAAAAACCTTCAGTTAAAGGAAGAATGACTATACGTGGAAAAGAAGGGAATAAAGAATATTACAAAGGTGAAGAAAACAGAAAAAAATTGTAGACTAAAACTGTTAAGTATCTTCATACCATTTTCTTATTCAGGAAAAACTTGAATAAGTTAGCTAGAAATGCTAATGTATTATTAAGAAAAGGAGACTGATATCAACAGTTGAAGTTGCCAGTGGGTAAATGTAAGGCCTAACAGAAAATTCCAGGGCTGGGTGACATAGATAGTGTGAAACACATAATTATAGGTCAGTGGTTCCAGAAAGTTCCTGAACTCTTCTTCAGTTATCTCCAAATCCTCTATGTTTCTGCCTCATTCTACACTTCATTTCCTTCACTTTTTTTATTCTTTCCTCTTTCCTTACTCCTTTAAGCCTAAATTACCCTAGTTCATCATTTCAAACATTATCTTGCTAGCATTCTCAACTTTTTTTTTAACATTGCACATTCCTGGCCAAACCTTTCCATGTGTTATTTTTTGCTATTGCATGCAAGTTGTTAAGAGTTGCTGGAGAAGACCAGTTCAATGTAATAATAAAAGCAGATAAATTCCACTATTGATCAATTCATGGTCTTTAATGACTTTCAGATTTGCATTACTAAAAACAGTAAATTCTCTCTTCCCGCTTTTCCACATAGTTATTTGAGCTTCTATTTATTTTTCAAATTTACTTTTTTTTCTCCCTTCAGTGTTACAGATGATCTCTACTGCTACTTTATGAAGAAGCTAAAAACTATCAAATAAAACCTCCCATGATTAGTTGCCACCTCGGCTATAGCTGTCTTCATTTGCACTAGGTTCACATCTTTCCTTCTTCCTTTTGTTTTCAGGGAGCAAAGCATTTTTCTTCCTTGTCTGTAAGGCTAGTTATTTTATTTCTCTAAATTCCACGCTAATCTTTATTCTCAGAGACTAATCTTTATTCATATGTATAAATTATCACTTCACTTTTGTAATATCAACTTTTCTCACTTTAATAAATCCTTTCAATCGACATCTACTTTTCTGTAAACCTGTCTGTGTTCCAAAGTCATCATCACTTATATCTCCATTTTCGAGTTCTCATTTGGCTTTTTATGGCCTCCAGAATCAGATTACTTCTGATATGAGCTTATTACTGACATCTCTATTTTGATAACTTACTGTGACACTAACATCAGCAAATATATAGGAACCATATTTAAGTATCCCTTTTCCCCAACTCTGACTTCCAAAATTGACTTCCAAACTCCCAGACATTTTCTTCTTTTCTTTGACTCTCACTTCCTTTCCAAATGTCTTAGGTCAGTCTCCTAATGTGATCTGCCTGAAGCCAGTCTTGTCTACTTTAATCTGGTCTCCAATGTTAGCTAGATATGTTTCTTTCTTTAAAAAAGTCATTTTATTTTTCAGATAAAAACTTTTCAGTGAGTTCTAGTTACAGTCAGTAAAAAATCCGAAATCTATCTTGCCCAGCTCATTTCACCCTTCTGCTGGACTTTTTGCAAGTCTCTCTTAAATATCCTTGCCTTGTAAAACATATGAATCATTCTCTCACTTCCCAACCTTTTCAAAGACTATTTATTTAATGCATCTTTCAATCTTATCCAAACCGTGTTTGTAGTTTCGTGATCTAGTTATCGCTTCCTCTCTTTAGCATTCTCTGACGACTTCAAGAATCATTACATGCCCCCAAGAACTCTCATGGTAACCTGTACTTTTGTGTCACTGAGTTCCTTAAATACTTGGTTCTTTATATACTTCCATGTTCATTCTCTAACAGCTGATGCTTTCTCTGAAACCATTACAGTTCTATGAGCATGATGAGGAAATTAAGTGCCATTTCTGCTATCTAATTTCTGTTCCCACTGTTTTTAAATATATTTTCTCAATCATTCTGACTGCTACACCTGCTGCTCATCTAGTAAATACTCTTATACATAAAGGCAATTTTAAACTGATTAAGGTCTTTCTCTCCAATGAATAAGTTAGGCCATTTTAAAAGAATAACAGTAATAAATATAAACAGAATGCATCCTCCTCAGTGAATCCTTTAAGTGATATGCTGCTGTGCTATTGCTTCATTCGGCATGAAGGTGACAGTAGCTTAGACCTACTGAGGAAAAATGGCTTTCTTCTCTTTACTTAAAAAGCAGTCTCTGACAAGTAAATAAGGCACATTATTTTTCATTAAAATATATCTAATGATGACTCTGCGGTGGTCATCTCAGCACATAAATGGGCTTACCATTTTATTTTTTAAAACCATAAAGCACCTTTATACCATTGTTTGCTTACTTCACCCATATTCTCTCTCTCTCCCTTTTTTTTTTTTCTTTTTTGAGACAGAGTATTGCTCTCTTGCCCAGGCTGGAGTGCAGTGGCACAATCTCATCTCACTGCAACCTCTGTCTCCAGGGTTCAAGCAATTCTCCTGCCTCAGCCTCCTGAGTAGCTAGGACTGCAGGCACCTGCCACCACACCTGGCTAATTTTTTTTTTTTTTTTTTTTTTTTTTTTTTTTTTTTGAGATGGAGTCTCGTTCTGTCGCCAGGCTGGAGTGCAATGGCTCAATTTTGGCTCATTGTAACCTCCTCCTCCCAGGTTCAAGTGATTCTCCTGCCTCAGCCTCCTGGATTACAGGGGTCCACCAGCACCCCAGCTAATTTTTTTATTTTTAGTAGAGACAGGATTTTGCCATGTTGGTCAGGCTTGTCTAGACCCCCTGACCTCAGGTGATCCGCCCACCTCAGCCTCCCAACGTGCTGGCATTACAGGTATGAGCCAGCGCCCCTGGCCCCAATTTTTGAATTTTTTTTTCAGTAGAGATGAGGTTTCACCATGTTGGCCAGGGTGGTCTCAAACTCCTGACTCCAGATGATCTGTCCACCTCGGCCTTCCAAAGTGCTGGGATTATAGGTGTGAGCCACTGTGCCTGGGCCCATATTCTATTTTATCTCTGATAGCGAAAGTGTTTCATGCTTATCAAATATCCATATTAATCCAGCCTGTATCCTAGTGTGTTCTATTTTAAGTTGATAAAATATATCTCCCCAAAATGGTATTTTCTGATATGTAGTGATAAATACCAAGTTTAAAAATTGTTTAGCCACCACAGTGAAGTGGAAAAGTCTCATTCATCACTTATATTACCCCCTTCCCTTATTTCAAAATGATTTTTAAAAATTCACGGGCAAAATGGAATGAATGCATTTCAGCCATTCTAATTTGGGCAAAATGTGATTAAGGCATATTGCTTTCAAATTTGTACTGATCAGAGAGTGGTTAATTGCAGTATCCAATTTCATTATAAATTGCAACTGTTGAAACCACAGAAGCAATTTATTTATTTTTATTATCATTATAAAAATAATTTCACCTTTCATTTTAGATTTAGGGAGTACATGAGCAAGTTTGTTATATAAGTTTGTTACGTGATGCTAAGGTTTAGGGAATGAAAGTTCCTATCATGCAGGTAATGAGCATGGTACCCAATAGATAATTCTTTCAGCCACTCAGTTCCTCCCTCTCTGCATCCTCTAGAAGTCTCCAGTGTCTAGTGTTCTCACTTTTATTTTCATATGTACACAATGTTTAGTTCCACTTATAAGTGAGAACATGCAGTACTCAGTTTTCTGTTCTTGAATTAATTTGTTTAGGATGATGACCTCCAGCTGCATCCATGTTGCAGCAAAGGACATGATTTTGTTCTCTTTCATGGCTGCATAGTATTTCATGGTATATGTGCACCACATTTTTCTTTGCTATTGTGAATAGTACTGTGATGAACATATGAGTGCATGTGTCTTTTTGGTAGAATGATATACTTTCCCTTGGTTATATACCCAGTAATGGGATAGCTGAGTCAAATAGTAGTTCTGTTTTAAGTTCTTTCAGAAATCTTCAAACTGCTTTCCACCGTAGCTACACTAATTTACATTCCCACCAACAGGGAATAAGCGTTCTTTGCCCCAGACAGCCTTGCCAACGTCTGTTATTTTTTGACATTTTAATCATAGCCATTCTGACTTGTGTGAGATTGTATCTCACTGTGGTTTTGATGTGCACTTCTCTGTTGATCAGTGATGTTGAGCATATTTTTAGATGTTTGATGGCCACATGTACGTCTTCTTTTGAAAAGCGTCTGTTCATATTCTTTGCTGACTTTTTAATGGGGTTGTTTTGTTCTTGAGTTTCTTATGGATTCTGGATATTAAAGTTTGTTAGATGCATAGTTTGTGAATATTTTCTCTCTTTTAGTAGGTTGTGTGTTTACTCTGTTGATATTTTCTCTTGTTGTGCAGAAATTATTTAGCTTAATTTGGTCCCACTTGCCAATTTTAATTTTGTTGCAACTACTTTTGAGGACTTAGGCATAAATTCTTTGCTGTGGCTGATATTGAGAAGACAATTTCCTATTCTAGGATTTTTTTTTCTAGGATTATTTTTATTTTAGGATTATTCTAGGATTTTTTTTTTTTTTGAGACAGTGTCTCACTCTGTCACCCAGCTGAGTGCAGTGGTACAATTTCAACTCACTGCAGCCTCCACCTCGTGAGTTCAAGGAATTCTTCTGCCTCAGCATCCCAAGTAGCTGGGATCACAGGCGTGCACTACCATGCCCCACTAGTTTTTTATATTTTTAGTTGAGATGGGGTTTCACCATGTTGGCCAGGCTGGTTTTGAATTCCTGACCTCAAATGATCTGCCCCCCTCCATCTCTCAAAGTGCTAAGATTACACACGTAAGCCACCACAGCCAGCCTCTAGGATTCTTATAGTTTATGTCTTACACTTAAATATTTAATCTATCTTGAGTTAAGTTTTATACATGGTGAAAGGTAGGAGTTCAATTCGATTCTTCTGCACATGACTAGTCAGTTGTCCCAGCATCACTTACTAATAGGGATTACTTTATCTATTGTTTATTGTTATCAACTTTGTCAAAGACCAAATGATGGTAGATGTGCAGCTTTCTTTTTTTTCGTTTTCGTTTTCCATTCTATTCCATTGGTCTATGTGTCTATTTTTGGAACAGTAGCATGCTGTTTTGTTTACTATAGCTTTATGGTATAGTTTGAAGTCACTTAATGTGTTGCCTCTGGCTTTGTTCCTTTTGCTTAGGATTGCTTTGGCTATTCAAACTCCTTTTTGATTCCATATGAGTTTTGGAATAGTTTTTCTAATTCTGCGAAAAATGATGTTGGTAGTTTGAAAAAGATAGCATTGAATCTGTAGATTGCCTTAGGCAATATGACCATTTTAATGATACTGATTCTTTCAATCCGTGAGGCTGAAATATTTTTTGATTTGTTTGTGTCATCTATTATTTCTTTCAAGGGTGTTTTGCTATTCTGCTTATATACATATATGTGTGTGTGTGTGTTATGTTTACACACATATATATATATACATAAGATGTATATATATCTTTTACTTCTGTGGTTACAGGTATTCCCAGGTATTTTATTCTTTTGTCACTACTGTAAATGGGATTATGTTCTTGATTTGGCTGTCAGTTTAAATGTTATTGGTGTATAGAAATTCTACTAATTTTTATAAATTGATTTTGTTGGGTTTTCTAGGTGTAGGATTATATTGTCAGTGCAGAGAGTTAATTTGACTTCTTCTTTTTCTATTTGGATAGCTTTTATCTATTTCTCTTGCCTGATTTCTCTTGCTAAGACTTCTAGTACTATGTTGCATAGAAGCTGTGAGAGTTAGTATCTTTATCTTGTTCCTGTTCTTAAGGGGAACGCTTCCAGCTTTTGCCCATTCAGTATGATATTAGCTATGAGTTTGTCATAGATGCCTCTTTTTAGTTTGAGGTATGTTCCTTTGCTGCCTAGTTTCTTGAGGGTTTTTGACATAAAGGGATGATGAATTTTATTGAAAGCTTTTTCTGCATCTATTGAGATAACCATATGTTTTTTGTTTCTAATTCTATTTTTGTGGTGAATCACATTTATTAATTTGTGTATGTGGAACCAACCTTGCATCACAAGAATCACTTAATCATAGTAAATTAATTTTTGATGTGCTACTGGATTCAGTTTGTTAGTATTTTGTTGAAGATTTTTGTGTCTGTGTTCATCAGGGATATTGGCCTGTGGATTCTTTTTTTTTTTTTTTTTTTGTCATATCTTTGACAGACTTTGCTACTGGGGTGATGCTGGGTTTGTTGAATGAGTAAAGGAGAAATTCTTCCTACTCAATTTTTTAAAGAGTTTCAATAATATTGGTACCAGCTATTCTTTGTATGTCTAGTAGTACTTGGTTGTGAATGCATCTGGTCCAGTGCTCTTGATGATTGGTAGGTTTTTTATTACTAACTCAATTTTGCAACTCAATAACGGTCTGCTCAGGGTTTTGATCTCTACTTTACTCGGTATTGGGAGGTGGTGTGTCTCTAGGAATTTATCCATTTCTTCTAGATTTTCAAGTTTGTATACATAGAGGAGTTCATAACAGTATGCTATTAATTTTTATATTTCTGGGGTATTATCATGTCAACTTTGTCATTTCTGATTATGCTTATTTGGATCTTCTCCCATTTTTTTCTTTGTTAATCTAGTTAGTGGTATATTGATCTTATTTAGTCTTTTGCAAAACCAACTTTTGGTTTTATTAATTCTTTATATAGATTTTTGGATCTCAATTTCATTAAGTTCTGCTCTAATTTGAGTTGGTTTTTTTCTTCTTCTAGCTTTGAGTTTAATTTGTTCTTATTTTTCTAGTTTCTATAGGTGTGATGTTAAGTTGTTAATTTGAGATGTTTCTATCTTTTTTTATTTGTATATATTTTTTGAGACGAAGTTTCGCTCAGCTGGAGTTGCCCAGGCTGTAGTGCAATGGCACGATCTCGGCTCACCACAACCTCCACCTCCTGGGTTCAAGCAATTCTCCTGCCTCAGCTTCCTGTGTAGCTGGGATTATAGGCATGCACCACCATGCCCAGCTAATTTTGTATTTTTAGTAGAGATGGAGTTTCTCCATGTTGGTCAGGCTGAGCTTGAACTCCAGACCTCAGGTGATCCACGTGCCTCATCCTCCCAAAGTGCTGGGATTACAGGCATGAGCCACCGTGCCCAGCCAATGTTTCTCTCTTCTTGATGTAGGCATTTAGTGCTATAAACTTTCCTCTTAACACTGATTTTGCTGCATTTCACACTTTTGGGTATTTTTTTTTCTCTGTTTTCACTTATTTCAAAGAACTGTTTGATTTCTGCCTTAATTTTATTGTTTATCTAAAAGTCATTCAGGAACAAGTTAATTTCCACATAATTGTATGGTTTTGAGATATATTGTTGGTGTTGATTTCTACTTTTATTCGTCTGTGGTCTGAGACTATGCTTGGTATGATTTCAATTTTCTTGAATTTATTGAGATTTGCTTTATGACTAAGGATGTCATCAATTTTGACTGTATTTCATGTATACATGACAGGAGTATATATTCTGTGGTTGTGGGAGGAGTCTTCTATAGATATATATTTGGTCTAATTGGTAGAGTGTCTCATTTAAAGTCCAGAGTTTCTTTGTTAATTTGGTGCCTTAATGATCTAGCTAATGCTGTCAGTGGAGTGTTGAGGTCCCCTACTATTACTGTGTGGTTGTTTAAGTATTTTCGTAGCTCTAGAAGTACTGGCTTGATAAATCTGATTGTTCTCATGTTAGCTGCATATGTTTTTAGGATAGTTAAATCTTCTTGTTGAGTTAAGCCCTTTATCATTATGTAATGCCCTTCTTTGTCCTATTTTACAATCGTAGGTTTAAATTCTGTTTTATCTGATATAATAATAGGCACTCCTGCTCTCTTTTGTGTTCTGTTTTTGTGTTAGATCTTTCTGTAACCTTTACTTTGAGTCTGTGGGTACCATTACACTTCGGATGTATCTCTTGAAGACAGCAGATTAATGGATCTTGTTTTTTTTTAATCCAACTTACCACTCTGTGCCTTTTAAGTGAATGCTTTTAGACACTTTATGTTCAAGGTTAATACTGATATGTGAGGTTTTGATCCTATGATGAAGCCATCAGCTGGTTGTTTTGTAGTTTCTGTTGTATAGTTGCTTGAGAGGGTCAATGGATTATTCACTTCAGTGTGTTTTTATAGTGGCAGGTATTGATTTTCTCTCTCTCTCTCTCTCTCTCTTTTTCTTCATGTTTAGAACTCTCTTAAAGATCTCTTGTAAGGTTGGGGTAGTGGTAACAAATACTCTTAGCAATTTTTTGTCTATAAAATATTTGCATTTCTCCTTCACTTTAGAAGCCTTTTTTTGACGAGATATGAACTTCTTCTTTGGAATTTCTTTTCTTTTAGAATGCCAAAAAAGGCCCCCCTTTTATTCTGGCTTCTGTGGCTTTTGGTGAGAAATCCACTGTTGTTGCCCTGATGGGGTTCCACTTGAATGTAATCTGATCTTTTTCTCTAGCTGTCTTAAATTTTTTTTTAATTGACCTTGTGCAGTGCAAATAGTGTATGCTTTGGTGGTATTTATTTTGTACAGTTTCTCACAGGTGTTCTCTGGATATCTTTAATCTTGATGTTTACCTCTCTAGCAAAATTAGAAAATTTTTTTGAATTATTCTATCAAATATGTTTTTCAGATTGTTTATGTTGTCTTCTTCTCTCTCATGAATGCTAATAATTTGTGGGTTTGGTTGCTTTACATAATCCCACATTTCTCAAAGACTTTGTTCATGTATTTTAAATTATTACTTTTTAATTTTTTTGTCTCAGTGGGTTAGTTCAAAAAAACCAGTCTTCAATATTTAACAGATGGATTTTAAAAGAGCAAATATTCTCTCTGAAAGTTCATATGGCATCTTTTTTTGTTGTAAGGTAAGGAACAAAATGATATTAGATTTATACCTCAAAACTACAGGTCTCCTTCTATAATACATACACTCTTAAAACAGTTACCATTATTATCACTAAAGCAATTATCATTACTAAAAAGTTACAACAAACATGAAGTTATACTGGAATAAAATGTGTTCCTTCTCAGAGGTAACAAGAGAATCACTAGTCATTGACAACATAGTGAAGTTTATATGATAAAGCAAATTGGCTTTTAGAAAGTGTGAAAATTGATTATATGTGTTGAACTAAGAACAACTGAAGAAGCAATAGCAAATTCCACTGGTACAAGTCACTGTGGGGTGAAACTCAGGAAAGGCAAACATAACTTGCTTCATGGAGAAGGAAAAGGTATTCAGAATATGGCTATTGCCTAATGGAACACACACACACACACACACACACACACACACACACACACACACACAGTGTCCTGTTGAGAACATGGTCTTCAATTTATTATAAAAGGTTTTTATTAAAATTTTTTAAAATTAAAAATAATGTTTTTAATGTGAATATTTGTATACATTTTCCCAAACTGTTAAAAAAGAAAACTATAGATAATGGCTAAATTTATAAACCAGGGAGGTAGACACATACTATTAACCAAGAATGTTTCAAATAAGAATTTACATTATAAATATATATATTATATGTAATCTTTTTGATATTTCCCTCTAGCTAAGCTTTCTTTTCTTACCATCAAAACTAGCATTAGCAATGAGATTTTCAGTCCATGTCTATAATTTTATACATCTCCATACTACTTCTCAATAAAACTGTAGTAACTTCTACCCAGAGCACTGCACTAAACCTGATTTTAATGAATTCATCAATGATTCTTTGTTGCTCATGCAGTGGACTTCTCATTCAGTGTAAAAGCTCAAAACATTTGAAATTATTGACTTTTTATTGTCTTCACTCTTATTGCATGTGGAATTATTCCTATGACACTTGCCTTTTGGCTTTTAGGATTATTTTATATATATATGAATCACTTATTTCCTTATTTGATTATAAGCAAATTTATTGACTATGCAGTACTGTTCTACTTTTTATGTGCAAACTTTCACATATTGGTGACAAAATATTTATGAATGAGCAAATTAATGTTCAGCTGTCATAAAATGTGTATTTATCTCTCTTTAGATATATAAATATAGATATGCCTAAAGATGTGTATACCAGAAATCCCCAGTTAAAGAAGAGTGCTTTGTTTCACATTATTCTTTCTCTAAAAGATTTAATCTAATTGATATACTTTATCTAAAGTAGAATGAGTTGAGGATGTCTCTACTTTTTATTTGAATATGTATTTAAGTGCCTATTTTCACCAGGCCATGTTCTAGAGACTAACATGCAGCCGCTCATAACCTACTCCCCTGGCCCTAATTCTGTTGGGGCTCAGAAAACAATACCCCAAAATAAAGGCTTCAGAAACAGCCCCAGAAGCAAAAGTTTCTCTCTGACATTCTCATGCCCTCCTGTCTCTCACCCTTATTCTCCCCAGACCCAAGCTGTAGAATCTGGAAGCCCTCTTCCTCATGGTTGATCATAGAAACCGATCATAGAAACCGGAACCCTTTTTACCCACATTCGGCTGTAAAACCTAATAATGTTACTATTTCCCCTGCTGTTCTATGTAAAAATTGGCCATAAAGAAATTATCTGACCTACTTTGTTTGATTGCAGGTCATAAGACCCTCATTTCAGAAAGGGTCCTG
Source organism: Homo sapiens (assembly GCF_000001405.40). Classification (NCBI taxonomy): domain Eukaryota; kingdom Metazoa; phylum Chordata; class Mammalia; order Primates; family Hominidae; genus Homo; species Homo sapiens. Next base: position 180,127 of record NW_025791779.1, read on the forward strand.
CTCCATACCCAGAAGGAAGGAAGCCTGCACTGAAGAATCTGGACAGACAGGCCTTTTGGGGCTTCCTCATTCAGTCTAATAGATTATGAAAACGTAACTCTTGTGTCCAATCACAGTTCTACATGGCCATCCATTCTCCATCAAAACTAAGTATTAAAATGGACGATTTCTCTTGTATCTTTGGGTCTTCATTCTGAACACATCAATGTCATGTAAGACTATGACCAAATAAATTGATATGCCTTGTCTGTTGATTTTTTTTTTCAGTTCACTTTTTAGTAAACCTTCAGAGGATGAAGAGGAAATTTTTCCTTTACCCCTGTAGTTCTATTATAGAGATAAATCATTTTCACTAAAATAAATTTTGAATTTTTTTCATTGATGACATAAGCTAACATTTTAAAAGGATTAAAAGGTCAAGAATGACTAGAACTGCTATTTAAATTACCTTGTCAAGGAAGTCATGTTGGAGAGAAACTCTTTGTGTTAAAGTTTGCTTATATTTCACTTTAACCTAAGGTACGCTGTAATAACAATAACCCAAAACCGCAATGGCTTACAACAATATTTAATTTATCCGTCACATGAAATGTGGAGTGGACTTGTAGTGGAAACACAATCAAAGTCTAAGTAAACGTGTTTTAAAAAAGATATTTTCCAGTTGATTCTGTAATTCTATGGAGATGCAGAGGATTTACAACTGTTAAAACAAATGTGAAAAAGAACAATAGTAAATGGCTCACGTTAATTCAAAAAAATTAATTTCAAAAAAAGTCGTGAGGCTATAATAAGATGTAGTATTGCAATACATATAGACAAAAAGATCAGTGAAGCAGAAGAAAAATACAGAAAACCAAACACACAAGTTTGGATGCAGAAAGAAATAAATTAGTCTTAAAAAATAGGGTGCTAAGACAATTCTACGGCAAATTAAAGTTTCTTAAATGAGATGGGAAAATATATAAAAATAAAAATTAATCACAACCCTTGCCTCTTAGTAAAAAAAGTACGATATTAATACCAGACAGATTTTTGATTTAAAAATAAAAGGCAAAATAGAAATCTTTAAAAGAAATCATAAAAAATATGCTTATGCCAAATAGTATTAAGATCTGTTTATTTCACTGTATGTAATTTTTAGCTCTATAGATATTGATTAGAAAAATTTGCAGAATCATCAACAATGATTTAATATAAAAATATTATATCATTGTTGACTCAAACACAGTACTTAGGAAGAATAAAAAGAAAAATAAGACACCATATACACATAGCAACTAAACCCTATATAAGTACATAGCATAGTGGTGACACAGTAACACCAAAACACTATGATGAGAGCTTAAATAAAGGCACAGCACAAACACTATTGAACTATAGAAAAAAGAGTCCTGAACTTTTGAAGGATGGAGAGAGGAAAATAAATGCCTTATAGCATAAGTGTTCCTCAAGCCTACAAATCTTTTAACACTAACAATATATTTGATTATGATTTTTTATTTTGTTACCATTTAAAAAGGCGTTTACTGGATATAAAAAGATAGCAAGATATTTGATTCAGTTTATCATATTTTCCTTTATAAAAAGTAACATTTAATGCAGAAACTTTTGAATTAAAATGCATTGCAGACTCATAATGTCATTTTAACATGTATTACTATACTTTGAATCCACTCATGGCTGAATCTGAAATATATATTTGAACAGCTGTTAGTTGAAATAAAAGTACTCATTTCTTACTAGACCAATTTTATGTAATGCTGAAAACTCTTTTAGCATTTTTGTTTAACTAGGGTAATGGCAAAATGCCTAAAAACATATAAGTTGTGTGGCTGTACCTTGTATATATGTTTTTCTTCAAGTTCAACATTTTTAGTGAGAATCGTTTCTACAAAGTCTCAAAGTAAAATTAGAAATGTTTAAAAATTACAAAAAAAACAAAAAATAGAAAAAGTTGTGGGCCTGAAATGGTCACTTTGCCATTTGACTGACAAAGCACACAGAAGAACTCACGTACCACTTGACATTTTGCTTTTTATAATTGATCATCATTTACATATATTCTTTTTCATAATTGTGTTTTAGTTCCTTAAGCGAAGGTTCAGTCAATGTTCTTTAACTCTTCTTATTTTCACCAAATATTATTTCAATCATGATGGTATTAAAAAACCCAGGTAAAATAACATATCATAACTTAGAATAAATTTTAAATTAATTATTCAACTATCATATATAGTCACCCACCATATGGGGCACATAATTGTCTACTTTAAAACATGTCACTTCTTGAATTTTTTCTGTTCAGAATGTTCAAACATGACAATGTATTATATCTATTGTAGCTGATGATGTTAATTTCTCTTTAAAAATTGTAATTAGTTTAGATGATAATTCCCCTATAGGAACATTAACTAATTGATAATCCCTCAAAAAATTTGTTTCAATGGTTTTATTTAGTTTTATTGATAAAAAAGTAGTAGACACTTATTTATTTTTAATTAAAAAATTATTTAAAAAAACATTTTAAAACATTTTCCCTTCCAAATTTATTTCAGGTTCAGAGGGTACATGTGCGCATTTGTTACATGGGTAAATTGCGTGTTCTTGTGGTTTGGTGTACAAATTATTTTGTCCATGTAGTGAGCATAGTACCCAGTAGGTAGTTCTTTAGTCTTTACCCTCCTCCTACCCTCCACCTTTAAGTAGGCCGCAGTGCAGTTTTGTTCCCCTCTTTGCGTCCATGTGCACTAAATGTTTAGCTCCTAATTAGATGTAAGTACATGCAGTATTTGAGTTTCTGTTCCTAGGTTAACTCAATAAGGTAATGGCCTTCCGCTCCATCCAAGGTGCTGCAAAAGACATAATTTCATTCTTTTTTTTCAGGCTGTAGTACTCCATGATGTGTATGTTCCACATTTTCTTTATTCCAGTCCACTGCTGATGGCACTAGATTGATTCCATGTCTTTGCTATTGTGAATGGTGCTGCTGCAATGAACGTATGTATGCGTGTGTCTTTACGGTAAAATGATGTATAGTCCTTTGGGTATATAGTCAATCATGGGACTTCTGGGTTAAGTGATAGCTCTTTTTTAAGTTATTTGAGAAATCTCCAAACTGCTTTCTACAGTGGCTAAACTAATTTACAGTCTCTCCAGCAGTGTATAAGTGTTCTCTTTTTTCTGTAAATCTTGCCAACGTCTGTTATTTTTTTGACATTTCTATAATAGCCATTCTGACTGGTGTAAGATGGTATGTCATTGTGGTTTTGATTTGCATTTTTCCAATGATTGGTGATGTTGAGTATTTTTTTCATATGCTTTTTGGCTGCATGTATGTCTTCTTCTGAGAAGTGTCTGCTTATGTCCTTTGCCCATTTTTTTAATGAAATTGTATTATGCTTGTTGATTTAAGTTCCTTAGAGATTCTAGATATTAGGCCTTTATGAGATGCATAGTTTGCAGATGTTTTTCTTATTCTGTAGGTTGTCTGTTTGTTCTGCTGATACTTTTTTTTTTTTTTCTGTGCAGAGCTCTTATTTAATTAGGTCCCACATGTAAATTTTTGTTTTTGTTGCTATTTGTTTTGGAGTCTTTGTCATGAAATCTTTGCCAGGGTCTACATCCAGAATAGTATTTTCTCGGTTTTCTTCTAGGATTTTTATAGTTTTAGGTTTTATATCTAAGTCCAGACATTTTAAGGAATAATAGGCCAGGCGCGGTGGCTCATATCTGTAATCCCAGCATTTTGAGAGGCCAAGGCAGGTGGATCACAAGGTCAGGAGATCGAGAACATCCTGGCCAACATGGTGAAACCCCATCACTGCTAAAATACAAAAAATTAGCTGGGTGTGGTGGAGGATGCCTGTAGTCCCAGATACTTGGGAGGCGGAGGGTGAATCGGTTGGACCCAGGAGGCGGAGTTGCAGTGAGCTGAGATCGCGCCACTGCACTCCAGCCTGGAGACAGATTAAGACTCCATCTCAAAAAAAAAAAAAAAAAAAAGAGAATAATAGTAAAGTATGAGCCAATTGGAGAACATTTATTTCTACATTTATTTAGTTGTAATGAATTTTGAATGGCTCAAAGATGTGCAGATCACCTATAGTTTGTGTTAACATTTTCTGCTGCAAAACAAACAAACAAACAAAAATCCATAATAGTAATTATGTAAAATGTAATATCATGTTATTTTACTCCAGAAGCAAATGGGAGAAGGTATATCTACATCTGTATTTACACACAAAAAACATAGGTGGTTGACATAATTATATATAATGTATAAATATATGCATATTTTCATGTGTAGTTTACATAAGCGTGTGAATGTGACTAAAAATATACAGTAAAATCAGCTATAAAATATATAAATTCATTATGAGATAAAATAAACAATGAATGAAATTGCAGCTAATAAAATCAAAATATTATTATACCTAAAGAGATAAATATGATAACATGTAAAAGAATTTATAGCTTCCAAAATTAAAAAGCTAAAATAATTCATGCCTAGCTGGTATGCACCTTATAAAATATTAAAGGAAGTTCTTCAGGTAGAAGCAGTATTACAAATATTGATTAAAATAATGAAATTAAATTTCAGCATTAATGTTAAACAGAATTTTTTTCTTTTCTTAAATGATACTTGAGTTTCTTTGTGTCTCTATTAGAGGCAGACTGCTCATTTACAATATGTGACACATCTCTGAAGGAAGATGGAGTTGAGATTAATACACTTGCTCTCTGTGGATTGCAGACTATTACTCCCAAAATGCCCGTAAAATACCAAAATACCTGGTCTTCAGAGAGTCATAATATTTCATACAACATCTTCTCTCCCTGTTATCTTATGACCTCAGAGTCACATTCTTTACCCTTTGAATACTCTACCACATGTTTTACTGTTGTTTTCTGTTTTATGTCCCATGTGTACTCTGCATTGATTAAAAGTTTATAAAAGTAACCTCTTGAAAATGATAACTACCTAAGTATCTTTAACAAGGTCATTTCCAATATACTTAACCACTTTTCTTCAGTCTCTTCAGTTCTAAAGGAGACTCAAGGCTGTTACAGAATCGCCTTGCTTCATCTATCTTTAAAACATCATTTACCTTTGGTTTTCTTTTGTCTCTCAAATTTCTTTTTTTCCTTCTAAACATTTTCTTAATTTTATGGAAAGCTTATATATCTTGGCACTTGTATCTTCTGTCTTTCTCTTAACATTGTCTTTCTGGCACTTCCAGCAAAAGAAAGTTAGGCCACAATGTTAACCCTTCTCTTGCCATGCTTCTTTCTCTTTTTTAACAATTACTTGGATACATTAGGGAACTTCTCAGTGTGCCTGACAAGATGTATTTTAATTTATCATCATTTGATGTTGAACCTATAATATTCTGGTTGCCACTTTTACAGTTTGAACTGCTCTTGCAGAGTTGTAATATTTATGTTGCTAATTTTTATGTTTTATCATATTTCACCATTCTATACTCTATGACACATTGTCCTATATGCTGTTTTAAATGATTTTTTTTTCCTTTAGTGTCTTTGACCCTTTCTTTACAAGGTTTGACCTCTATTTCTTTTGGTGTTCATTTCAGACTCCTGTCCAAGATATAACTGTGTGATGTCTGTTTCTTTGTATGCACACACACAGATACACACACACACACACACACACACACACACCATCTTTATCAAACCATTATAGAACATATGTTTGCATTGAACACATCACTTAAAGAGAAATTCGAACCATAAAGTTTTGATACAAGAAGCATTTTAATGAAAAGTTTAAGATGAAAGTCTTTGGCTTAAGATATTTATCCTCACTTTGATATTTCCTACGTACAATCATCCAACTAATAATATCACTAAGCATCTATTTCCCATCTGAGGAATTAGAAAATAAAATACTGTATACAATGATAGAAAGAAAACACAAGAGTGTGTAATATACCTTATGCTTATAAGACATATAGGAAATATCACTGCCTTAATAACTATATAGCTCTAAATATGCTCCTACTAATAATAAAAGTATATACACATGGAAAATGTTATATCTTAGAAGTACTTTTACAGTTTTTATGAGAGGTTATTCAATGCAACTATGTTTTTGTGCATCATCTGAATTGTTTGTCTCAGTTACCAAAAACTACATATTTAAAGAAATTCTGTCCATTTTATGGATATTAGATTTGAAGTGATTATTGTTCAACATTGATATAATGAATTTAATCTAAATCTCAGATATTGTCCTGATGCCATTTAAAATTATTACAGAATATGAGTATTTTATCCTAAGTTCATTTAGATATACAGTGTTATCTATACAATGTTTCTTTTCATTATTAGCATGATTTTTTTGTAATTCTGAAATATGAGATGAACACACTCATGTCATTGTCAAATACTGTGGAGTAAAATCAATACAAATGTAGAATGATACATACAGTGCTGCTTCTATATTTTACATTCAAAGCACATAGATAACAATTTAATTAGATTAGATAATTTTCAAAGAAATGTTCATATTTTGATCATTTTGATATATATATCTTAAAATAATTTTTTCTTGGTCAAGAGGACTTTCTATAATAATATCCTATAGCATGGTTCATGTATGTGTCATGACATATTTGATTCTCACTGAACTGACTAGACATTTGATCCATATATATGAATGTTTGTGGTACATATATACATGTATGTGTATATGTGTATATCACTATTATACATATACATTGCATGTAATATTTTATTATAAGTGCTAGTTTGTTTCCTTACATATTTAGATGTACTTAATGCGAAAAATATTTTCCATATTTTTGGTTTGTAATAAAAGTGTATAAGATAATTTCCTCTTTATTATAAAATGATATATCTTATGCAAGACAAAGGCTAGGACTTTAATTAAATAGGATAAGATGTTAGAGTCATTGCTGTGAATTTTTGAAAGGTAAAATGTATGTTGTTTTTTTATGAAATATGTATATTTTTGATCAGTACATGCTCGCCTTCCACCTTGAAAGCCTGCATACTGTTGACAGAGGAAGATTTTACTGCTTGCTACTTTTTGAGTTCTACTAGAAGCCCATCATGTTGCTTTGAGGTATTTCCAGGACTATCACTCTTCACGTACCTCTCTTCTATCTTTGATTTTATTCAACCTTGTCGAATCTCCCTGTCTCTCACCTTCTCTCTCTCCTTTTGAAAAATATTCTTTTTATGTTATCTGTTAATAATAATCGAGAAGTTTTATGCCTAGTAATATGCATCATGGAATTGTATCAGCTTACAGGATCATATTATTCAAGGAAAGAAATATAATGAAATATATTCAGGCAAATATTTAATCTCAGATTTGGCTCTGCTGTCATTATATTCTCTGATTAATGTACCTAACAAGTCTACAAACCCTGGGAGAATGAGAAGTGTAATAGGCATGAAATCTTCCTACAGTTAAATAACAGGAATCATAGCACTTATGTGTAAGAGTTCACGTTTTATTGGTTAAATGTTAATGCTTATGATGATTGTCAAAGAATAAATTTTCATATTTATAATTAAACTACCGCATTACAAAAATGCGAATGTACATATGGCTACAGAGTTAATGAACATTTCAATGTTTAAACATTAGCTTTAGAGAAAAAAAAAACAAAACAGCTGTTCCAGGTAACACCAGTTGAGTAGGTAATTTGTAATTAATTATAGACACATATGGCCATTGCTACTCATGCACAGACCAAATGTTTCCTTGCTAATAAAAAAGGCAAGCGTTCAATTATCTGTAACCATTAAAGAGTATTTTTATTGCCATATTGTGAATTAGTTTGATGTAATAATCCATCCTAGATTTTATATATGAATCATTTTACAAAACCGATTTTTTTGATTTGGCAAAAAAATGCCCATGTCTATAGAGAAAAAGTGAATTTCTTTTGAGTAACGTTTTAACACTTGAGAGGTAGTTTCATGATTAGAAAAAATCTAAAGGTGTTTCATTTATCTTATTAAAATGTAGCTAAACTTATTGGTGAGAAAGAGATAAAGATAATATCCAGGTCAGTAAATAATTCTCTATTGTTGTAAAATAAGTTGTAATTAATGCCTACATATCTATTTCATATGACTTCATTTAAATGCTCTTTTTCTTTGCCTCACTGTCGCTTACAATTATTCTAAAATAATCCTTGATACATCATGGTTATTCTCATTCAAATCATTGACATTTACTCTCCTTTTGCCTTTGTTGAATTTGGTTGCATACTTTGACATAAGACTATGTCTAAAGAAAGACAAATCTAATTGTTTTCTGATTTTATTACCTCAAATTATATGATTATGTGTATTACCTCAAATTATATGATTATGTGTTGACATATTTGCATTTCTCAATTTAACTTAATAACCCAGAAGATTTAAATGAATTATTATACATTTATGGCTCAGAAATAGAAAATGCACATTTTAAAACTCCTCAATTCTCTCTGAAAAACCAGATATTTCCAATTTATTCACTTAAAACTGACATTAATTATTATTTTAAAATATCTCTTTCACTCCTTTATGAATGACAATAAAAAATATACTAATGCCTATTGTGTTAGAAACTGTACCTTGTACTGAATAGTATGTAGTTTTTACTTTCACTTTTAAATTAACTTTCAATTCCATTTTTTCAAAGGACTTTGAATATGCTAACATTTGATTTGTCTATACTTTTCTTTGGATTTCATGCATTCTTTGAAGGTTTGAAAGAATAATGTTAATTATAATTCATATACTTGATTTGTGGCATAACTGTCACTTGATGTAGTGTGAAAAATAAATATTACAAATTATGACTTTTCAAGTTTTATATAGTTGAAAAAAATAATATCAGATTTGGTGCAGGAAAATTTTAGGCTTAGATGGTTTAACTTGCTTGATGCTTGGTTGATTATTGGTTCCACGTCCACACTTGAAAATCTATGTATGCTCTGATATCTCACTCTTCTCCACAGTAAGGTAGGATCACAATCAAATTTTAAGTTCAGTCAAGATGACATCAAAATTTTTCACAAGGAAATTATATATAAAACTAAAATGAAAATTAACAGACATACATAGATATGGGTATCTGTAGTACAAAGCTCTCTGGTCCTGTTTACTGCAACTTGGTTAAATATTGATCCCAGTGATACAGCTTCTGCTACACTACACTCATGACTTTTTAAACATATTGTTTTACTATGGTAAAATGTATACTATAAAATTTACCATTTTAACAATTGTTAGGTGTACAATTTAGTGGTATTAACTATATGCACGCGGTTGTGCAACCATCACCACTATCTGTCTTTTTTGCCGGATGCAGTGATTCACTCCTGTAATACCAGCACTTTGGGAGGCTGAGGTGAGAGGTTTGTTTGGGTCTAGGAGTTAAGACCAGGCTGAGCAACATGGCAGGACCTCATCTCTACAAAAAATACAAAAATCAGCCAGGTGGGGTGGCACGCTCCTGTAGTCCCAGCTACATGGAAGGCTTCAGTGTGTGTGTGTGTGTGTGTGTGTGTGTGTGTGTGTGTGTATGACAGAGAGGCTGATACGGGAGGATTGCTTGAGCCCAGGAGTTCGAGGCGGCAGTGAGACTGTGATCACGCCACTGCACTCCGGCCTGGGCGACAGAGTGAGACTCTGTCTTAGAAAAAAAAAAAGTGTCTTTTCTTTTTTTTTTTAAATAAAAAAAAGAAAAAAAATCAACATCTCTCCTTATTTACAACTGCATTCCCCTTTTCCAAATTTCACATACTTTTACGCCTCAGAAAAAAAAAAGCCAGAGCTCTTTATGAGGTGACCATGAAATTAAATTTAGAGTTAACATGAAAAGTGCTTCACATACAATTTATACTATGTGCTATTTAAATACACACACACACACAGACACACACACACCAATACACACATGCAATGCATGGGAATTAGCAATAACATATATGGATGTTTCACATATAACTTCCTATGCCATCGATAACACAGTAGGTGTTAAACTCACGCACTTATAAATCAAGAAAATTGGCTTCACAACCATTTTTTTCATTTTTTCTAATTTTAATTAAATATGTACTTATTTTGGCATAACTAATATTTTACCTACTGCTCTGTCACTTTTCTTCTTTACTTCTTTCCTTCTTTTCTCCTTTTCACCCATCTTACCTTTCTAACTTCATTCATTCTTTTATTTTCTTCTTTGAATAATATTATATGCTTCCAAGGAATATATAAGTTGAAGAATGGAAATAAAGAAAGTAGTGGTATCTGTTTGTAAAAATACTTTTATCAAAATTAATATTATTTCCTAGTCTAAATATATAACACATACAAAAACGGAAATTGCCATATAAGATATTAATATGTTTTTATTGTATATTTTTTCAAAAAAATGCTGAAATAAATTATTTTAAACAGAGTAGTAGCATATAATGTGAAAGTTACTTTTGCCTGGAAATTTTCATTCTTACAATTTCCTTGTACTTATAAAGATATAAATAATAAATCCAGATATAAATATAGCTACAGTTATATCTTTATTATACTTTATTACACTACAGATATTCTATATTTTTATAGATATCATTCTATATTTTTAACAATATGTACATATTTAAAGTATAACATGCATATGGAAAAGTGTAACATTAATAATTGTATATTTCAATGAATTTCCAAAATTTAGCATTTTTATAACCAAGACACAAATCAAGAGTCACAACATTACCAGCAACAGAGAACACCTCTCAGAGCCTCCCCTACAATCTTCCATCAGGTTTGTCTGTTAACATTATGTTTATCTTTGATGTTAATATTTATAGATATGGTTTATTGTTAAATGTAAACACAGAATTCTCTCAGAGAGAATTGTACTAAATTGTCATACTTAATAACTGATTTTGCTTATAGATATTTCAAATTTTTACTTTAAACATGACTGCAATAATCACATTTGTACATATGTCTTCATATCTTTTGAATATTATTTTGGTGCAAAAGTAATGGTGATTTGCCTTTACTTTTAAATGGCAAAAACACAATTACTTTTGCACCAACCTAATACTTTCATGTTATATATTCTAATCCTTGGAATTACTAAGTCAAGGAATAGGGACCACACCAGTTGTTACTGAACTTAAAATAGAAAGAGAACTTTTACCTCTCGATCAAAAGTAGTAGGTTTATAGGCCAATGTTTCTGCTAAAAACGTTAGAAAATATCACATTCATTAAAGATATATTTATAATTTATATAATTATATATAAATAAATATAAATTTATTTATATATTTAATGAATGAGTGTGTGTGTGTGTGTGTGTATATATATATATGTCAGAGATCTGTGAACACATTGAAGTCTAAATTAATTAAGATTACCAGGAAGGGAGAACAATTCTAAGGAAAGATGATGGTAACTGGCCACTTTTTCATCTGTGGAAATTTGCTTATACTAATTATAAGCTAAAAGTAGGGCTTGACCAAGGGAGCGTCTCCCAAATGGGGCTAAAAGAAACTGCAAAGCTTTTCTTTATCACATGAATCGGGAATATATCTTTGAGAGACCATAAATGCATCTTTAACTTACCCCAAAGGACCACCTGATAAGTTTGTGGCATTAAAGGAGCATAAGGTGCTGGCTTACGAGCTTCTAAAAGAAATTTTGCAACATCTTACATTGCATAGTGCATAGGAAACAAAGACTCACCAGGACAAAGCTCCCAAATTAAGCACTAGGTTAGTTTCTGATTGGAGAAACTGTTCTGAGGAGCTCTGAAAAATAGAACTACATTTATCAAAGTTTTAGTGTTGATAAGAAGGGCACCCGATAGGTTTTCATTCTCAGCTATGAGTCCACAGACACGACTAGAGGTGAAATAAGTCTTATTAAAAGTAAAATCCAGTCTCGACCCAGTTCAATCACAGAATAAATGGAGATATTCAACCCCTCAAGCTTTCTTTCTAGCAAATGAAAGGGACTCTCTATGATTTGAAAATAAAATCACTCTATCTTGAGTGTGTGTGTATGTGTGTGTGTATGAGAGAGAGAGTGTGTGTGTGTGGCTGTGTATGTTTAGACATATGAAGAGTAAAGAATATACGACTAAGAAAAAAACAGATATTAGGTGTCATCCCAGAGATAATCAGTACATTTCAATTATCAGATACCATAAATAGGATAATCATGTTAAAGTTAATTAAGGAATAAATGGGAAAAATAGAAAAATAATGTCAGGAAATTTGAATCTACATACAGAAATCACAGATTCTTTTCTGAAGCAAAAATTATAACTACTTTTTTAAAAGAAAGGCTTAATAGCATTTTGCAAAAATCAGATTATAAGATTATGAAACATGAATGTAAGACAAGTTGAGTCACCGAAAAAAAAAAAAAGAGTAAAAAAATTGAAATAACAGAAAAGAGTGTATGTAACATTTAGGACATTTGCACAAGTTTTGTAACATTATTATTGAAATCCCAGAAGAATAAAAGATAAACACAGTCAGACAAACTATAAAAGAGATGGTGTCCAGTAATGCCAGCAAATCACAAGCAAGATAAACATCCAAGTAAGTCACACCTGCCGACATTATAATAAAACCGATATGAACAGAGACTCACCCCACCAAAAAAAAAGACTTTATCTTACATGGAGCAACAACAGAAATAATGGCTAACTTTTTGTGCAAAACAATGAAGTTTAGGAGACAATACAATAAAATCCAAAACATACTAAATAATAATAACAATAATAACTAATGTAGAACTCTACATGAAAGAAAACTGTCCTTCAAAAATGAATGCGCAGAAACAATTGTTTTGTCATATAAAAAGTAGGCAAATATATTGTAATCAAACTTGTACTATGAGAAATAATAAATTTGTTTACACAAAACAATACTAATCCCATAAAAATATGGAAATTTAGAGGAAATGAAGATCACAAATGGATGAAAAGATGAGAAAATATAAATAAATACCATCAACACACTATAAGCATGCTAGTGTCTTATGTGGTTTAAACTATTTGTAGAAATAAAATGCATGACAATAATGCAAAAAAGGAAAATGAAAAAGATTTCAAGGACTCATAAGTTCTAACAGTATCAAGAACTTGCTAAACATAAACATTTTTAAGTTATAATAAGGTAGAACTTCTGGTTTTAGTTCTGACAGGCAAATTGCTTAGAAGTCATTCCTGTGGTCCTTACCAAAAGAAAAGGTGGACCAACTGAAATTTTCTCCTCAGAGAACTCTGGTTTCAGGAAAAACTATGATCCTGCTCTGGAGAGATAGGCACATCCAGAAATTCACAGCTGAGATATGCTCATCTGGATCAAAAGACACTGGAGTCTTCAACTAGTAGGAACACTGAAAATTTTAATATTTGCAAATTACTGGAAGATAAGTATGAACTAGCATTAAAGTAATAAATTCCACAGAACCACAGTATTACAGGGGTCCCCAAACTCTTTTTTTTTCTTTTTTTATGAGACGGAGTTTCACTCTTGTCGCCCAGGTTGGAGTGCAGTGGCGCCATCTCGGCTCACTGCAACCTCCGCCTCCCGAGTTCAAGCGAATCTCCTGCCTCAGCCTCCTGAGTAGCTGGGATTACAGGCGCCAGGCACCACGCCCGGCTAATTTTTTTTTTTTTTTTTTTTTTTTGATTTTTAATAGAGACGTTCGGTCAGGCCGGTCTCAAACTCCTGACCTCAGGTGACCTCAGGTGATCTGCCCGCCTCGGCCTCCCAAAGTACTGGGATTACAGGCGTGAGCCACTGCGCCCGGCCCCAAACTCTTAGAGACTTTATTTCCAGGAACTTACTAGGTTTTCATGAGGAAGTTCCCAGGAAATTTCCCTTATTGCTTTGACAAGGCGATGACAAAAGTAATTGTTAATCAATTTTCCCAAATCCTTCTCCATAATAAGACATACTCTCTGGGGACAGACTGCCTGGGTCTTTTCCTAAGAGGAAGAATGGCAATCCTCTTACCCCGGGTCCTTAGAGCCTTCCCGGCTTATGTTCTTGGAGGTGGTGGGAGCAAAACAGAGTCAATAGAGTCAGGGATTCAAGGACATGAAGTTTCAATGATGCTAGATGAAGAAATTCTAGAGATTTGCTGTTCAACCTAGTGCCTAAAGCTAACAATGTGGTGTTATGCTCTGAAAAAGCTATCAACAGAATAACTCTCAGGTTAAGTGTTCTTACAACAAACACAAAGCAAAGCGAAACACAAACTTAAATAAAAGGACTTAAGGAGTCCTTGGGAGGTGTTGGATATGCCTATTATCTTGATTATGATCATTGTATCATGGATGTTTACATATGTTCAAACACATTAAATTGGGTACATTAAACATGTGGGATTCTTTGCATATCAATTATACCTCAATAAATTTAGAAAACAGAATTCTGCAGACATGAAACAGAATATGAGGCAAGGGGGGAAAATAGTTATACCAGTGGAGAAACACTTGCAAAGGCCATAGACGTGAGACCGAGGCCCACTGAAAGACTGAGATTTAAGTGGAAGATTATAAAACCTTCTCCCTCATGCCTTTCCATTGCATACGTAGCATAATAACAATGACTTCAGCTGAAAGAGCTACAAGATACAGATCCACTTAGTTTTTGGAGAGGCACAAAGTCAAGACAAAAGGTTAAGACAAGAATGTTAAAGACATTTGAAGACTTTGGCACAATGAAATTACAGTAGAATTAAATAACAGAAATAATATATTAAGGATGTAGGTGCTAAATTAAGAATATTATTGTTTAATAATAAAAAATATCCACTTAACAACAGATGGAATAACCAGACAAATTTAATCAAAAACATAAAATATCTGAGCAAAAGAACAAAACTGACTCATATATTACATTGCATACATATTACATAGCAAATAACAATGATAGAGTCTAAATTAGTTTTAATGGCATATGGAAGACTGATTAAAACCAATCAAGAGCTGGCCTTAATATGTTTTCTGGTTGCAGAAAAGAAAAAATATATATATAGCAAAAAGATAACTACAAAATTCTTAATGAATCAAATAAAATAATATACTTAGACACATTTCATAGGAAAAAATCAATATCAAATATTGTTTTATTAAAGCATATCAAGGCCTAATATATACCTTTATTTATTAGGTCTTATTTAATGTTTCAAATTTCTATGTACAGTTTTTGTACTTTTAAATTTTATTATAAGGTACTATATAATTGTTTATGCTGTTGAACAAGACATTTCAATTTCCATGATTTTATTTATAAATTTAAAATTTCTATTTGAAATTTCTTTGTTGAACTTATATACTGCCACTTTGTTAACTTTTTAGTAATAAACTTCATCTTTAAATAGTTTTAGATTTACAGAAAATTTGTGATGAGAATACAGGGATATGTCAGAAAGCCCGCACTCAGTTTCCCCTATTATTAATGTCAACCATTAATAAAGTACAATCGTTATAATTAATACAAGCATATTGATACATTGCCATCAACTAAAGTCCATACTTTATTCATATTTCCTTGGTTTTTGCCTAATGTTATTATTCTCTTCCAAGATCTCATCGGTTACGACTTTCATTTAATCATTGTGTCCCATGAGGTTCCTCTTGGCTGTGACATTTCCTCAAACTTACCTTGTTTTTGGTGACCTTCACAGGTGTTAGTAACAGGCCAAGTATTCTATCGAATGTCCCTGAAGTTGAATATGTCTGTTGTTTTTTTCTCATCATTAAACTGGGTTTATATGTAATTCACAGGAATGCAACAGAGATGAAGTGCCATTGGCATTCTATCTTATCAAGGGTACATATTGTCATTGTCTTACCACAATTTATATTAAACCTGACTGTCCAGATGAGATACTGTTTGGCATTTTTATTTTGATTATCAAAGTCAAGGTACTCTTATTCCTCCATTTCACACTGTACCCCTGAGAAGGAAATATCCATGCATAGTCCCAACTTAAAGAGTAGGGAGTTATGTCCCATCTCCAGGAGGACAGAAAATGTATAAGAATTATTTGTAATTCTTCTGCATGTGAAATGTCTCTTCTTCCCACTTATTTATTCAAATAATTATGGACTTATAAATATTTATTTTATTTTATATTTTGTTTTATAAACTAATACTAATTTATTTGTTTTATTGCTCAAGTTGTTCTAGGAGCTCTTTCAGCTGGCTCTTGTGCTGCTTTGATCTATCCTTCTAACATTTCTTGATTGTTTATTTTTGAGGAATTTCTTATTTTCTGGCACTACAAGGAATCTGAGGTGCTCCAAACTCATTGTGTATATGTTTCCTGTTCTAGTGCTACAATCAGTCATTTCTCCAAGAAATACTGGTTCCTTCGATTGGAGAAAGATATCACAAAGCAGGAACTGGGTAATAAGTATACTCCTTGCTACAGGGATATTTGCTCCAGGCCCTCTCAGCTAACAGAGAAAGGAAATACATGTTTGTATACTAACTCTGGTATATACATGTGATATGGTTTGGCTTTGTGTTCCCACCCAAATCTCATGTTGAATTGTAATTCCTAATGTTGGGAGTGGAATCTGGTGGAAGGTGATTGGATGATGGGGGTGGATTTCCCCCTTTCTGTTCTCATAATAACAAGTGAGTTCTCATGCTTTGAAAGTGTGTAGCACTTCCCTCTTCACTCTCTCTTTCTCCTGCTCCACCATGTGAAGATCTGCCTGCTTCCCCTTTGCCTTCTGCCATGATTGTAAGTTTCCTGAGGCCTCCCTAACCATACTTCCTGCTCAGCCTGTGGAACTATGAGTTAATTCAATTTTTTTTTCAAAAATTACCCAGTCTCATGTAGTTCTTTATAGCAGTATGAGAATAGACTAAAACAACATATATGTGTAAACATTTCTATATATACCTATCTGTATCTGTAGTAAGCTAGATATAAATTCATACCGAGGTCTCCAATTGTAATCCATTATTTCATGGAGGATTCTAGCCTTCTTTTCTTGCTCATCCATGAATTCCTGCTCAAACTGTGAGAAGCATGACTCTCATCACAAATGATTCATTTACATTTAATTGTACAATTCCAATGTACATGATAGCACTATCAATGTTTTTAACTATAACCTTTTTAATACAACTTTATAGCTGATAAAGTTGTATCAGCTGTATCAGGTGTTAGTAATAGGCCAAGTATTATAAAGTTAGTAACAGGCTAACTTTATAGCTGATAAAGTTGTATTAAAAGTTGTATATAGTTTTCCTTGTCTTAAAATCAACTCATTTGCAATGCTGTCTGGTCAGAAATTTTTCTCTCCACTCACTACATTGAGTTTGTGTTACAGATTTGTAAATTTTTTTTTCTTGTCACAGTCTGCATTTCATGCTGGGCTTCTGCTGACTTCTTAAATGACTTTTAAAGAGTATAAATTAAGATTCACCCTGTGCTGTAAGTGTTTTGAAAAATGCATAGTGTTATGTATTCAGTATATAGAATTACAGTATATAGAATTACAATTCTATATACTGTATATACAATTACAGTATATAGTATATACAATTACAATTATATATACTGTATATACAATTACAGTATATAGAAGTTTCAAAACCCTTATAGAATAGTTTCAAATCTCATATAGAATAGTTTCAAATTCTGTCTCTCACCTGATCACCCCTCTCTACTCCCCATCCCTGTCACTTGGCAACCACTGACTTTTTAATCACTTTTATATGCTGCCTTTTCTGGAATGTCATGTAATAGGGATTATAGAGTATTTAACCTTTTCAGATTGGCTTTATAATTTAGCAATATGCATTTATTATTTATTCATGCATTTTTTGTGGCTTCATGGCTCTTTTTATTGAGGTAAAATATATGTTAACATAATATTTCCCATGTTAATCACCTGTGAGTGTAAAATTCAGTGGCATTAAATACATTTACAATGTTGTATAACCTCACATCTATTTGGCTTTCTCTATTATCATCACGGTTTCGCTATACATTCAATTCTCTGAGGCCTACCCTAACCACCTTTTGTAATATTATATTCTACCATCACAGTGCTTTCACACCAAAAACCTCCTCAAAATGCACTACCTTTTTCTTCTATCCTTGCCATTCACAACTTTCTAACACACAAGTCAATTTGCATATTTATTTTCTTTTTGTTCATTTTCATTGTTTCTTGCTAAATATAAGCTCCATGAAGGCAAGGATTACTGTTTTGCATGCTAATATATAGAAAGAACTTAAAAGAGTATGATGCACATAATAAGCATTCAATAAATATGTAAGCTAACAATTAATTAATTGAAGGAATCAACATAGGAATCTCTGTGTGAGTCACTGGGACTTAGACAAAGAAATATACTTAAGTAATATTTTGGCTGGGAGCTGACATCAGAGCTGGCGAGCCACTAGATGCCACTTTTGTTTTTCTCTAATTCTTACCCCTGTATGAATTTTTGCAGCAAGGAGCTTTAAACTTATGGGGGAAGAGGATGAGATGACCAGTCTGGCTTCCCATGGGGTTTTGTAAAACACTCCATGACCTAATTTTGTAACTCTCCCTCAATAATGTGGGGCTCAGAGTTCTTGCAGTTTCTTTTTCAAAATTGCTTTCACTGAAAAGAATAATTTCCTAAAGTTTTTAAGATTGAGAATATGCTTTAAATTAACCAGTCGGTTTTCATTCTTTTCTATTTCTGTTTCCAAGAAATTCCTCAAATATGTTGCCTACTTATGGCACACTTGCAATTACCTGATGTCTTACGGATTTAGTTGGTTTTCCATTTAATATCTATTTTTAATTAATTCAGGTTGGAGTTACTTTATGCAGTTATTTATGTCTGGAAGACCCTGGGAGTTTATTATAAGTGGTATGCACATCTATAAGCTCATAGGGCATTGGATATAACCAAAACAAATAATATGACTCACAGATAATTTTACAATGATTTTTTTTGGCTACATAGAATGATGCTATGAATTAAAAAATGGATAGTATTCAAAGGTATTAATACATTTATTGAAGTGTATGTGTGCATGTGTGTCTATGACAATCAAAGGCATTCTCATTATGAAATAGCCTTAATTGTTTTTGTAAAAAGTAATTTTTATATTAAAAGTAGGCAGACAATAGAATTTCTAATTTCTATGAACATAAAATTTAGGCTACATTTACAAAAATTTGATATAATTGAAGAAATTTAATTCTATATATTTTTCAATAAAAATTACAACTGGTTTAGAAGGCTGGGCATGCTGGCTCACTCCTGTAATCCCAGCATTTTAGGAGGCCGAGGAGAGTGGATCACCTGAAGTCAGGAGTTCGAGACCAGGCTGGCCAACGTGGCAAAACCCTATCTCTACTAAAAAGACAAAAATTAGCCAGGTATGGTGGCATGTGCCTGTAATCCCAGCTACTAGGGAGGCTGAAGCAGGAGAAGGCAGGGGAATCACTTGAACTCGGGCGGAGGTTGCAGTGAGATGAGATCACTCCACTGCACTCCAGCCTGGGTGAGAGAGCAAGACTCCATCTCAAAATAAATAAATAAAAATAAAATAAAATAAAACTGATTTTGAGAAATAAATTAGAATTATAAGAACATGTTTGAGTATAGTATTTTAATATATTACAGATAAATTTTAGTATCAGAATATATATGCATTCTATATATGTATATATTTCAAAAGGAATAAAGAAATTGAAAAGTATTAGAGAGTTAACAGTATTTGATCAATTAATATTCTAGGCCTATAAAATATAAAACAGCAAGTTCACATAGTACTGAAATAAATAACTGTTTATATAGATATTTAAAACTTGGAGAATGAATTTTTAAGTAATGTCTTTACTAGTTTATGCTTTATAAGAAATTACAGCCGTATATGTCTGAATGAAGAGATTATTACAGAAACAAAATAATTGAACCAAACTCATTTCATATGAGTTAGTGTAAAATTATCTCCTTTCATGTGGTTCAAGATGCTTCTTAAAATTCCCTTTAAACATCTTATATTACCTGATACTGTCCTCATTTTTCAATCACATATGTTCTAGAGGATAATTTTGGGATTAATTTGTAATGTACTATGATAAGAATAATATATCTACTGAAGAAATGTTCTAAGTATAATAATGTACTGTTGAATCAATTTGAATGCTTTAATAGTCATAATTTTTAAATTCAGTTTTAATAACTTTTTATGCTTAAGACAGTTTTGGTTGCTGGAAGCAGAAAATAATTCTATACTTTATCTCGAAAATATATTTCTCTCAAAAAATATTTATATTTTTATGCTTAAGACAGTTTTGGTTGCTGGAAACAGAAAATAATTCTATATTTCTCTCAAAAATATCAGTGACCACTGATAAATGGTCCTTTGGTATTTGCTTGAGCATCACTCAAAAACATTCATTTCCTTTCATGTGTATCAAGTGCTATTTTTGGCCTGGAACTGTGCTAGGCTGGAAGGTCAACATTCAATAGGAGTCTTATCCTTAAGGAATTTACTATGTAACTAATGATTTACAAGTAGCTAATTAGAGCATTACTTTTTAGTGAATTATGTGCAATGGTTGGCCTTCTCAGTCAAAATTAAACTGTATTAATTAACTTTTATTAATTAAAAAATTTCTTAATTAAAAGTTGTTATTAATGAACTTTTATTAAATAAAAGTTATGCTGATCCATAAGAAGCACACTATTCAGTTACAAAACACACTGAGCAGGGAAAAACATAAAATAAAATTCCAATTACAAGAAATTTAGGCCAGGTGTGGTAGCTCACACCTGTAATTCCAGCACTTTGGGAGCCCAAGGCAGGTGGACCATCTGAGGTCAGGCATTCGAGATCAGCCTGGCCAACATGGTGAAACCCCATCTCTACTAAAAATACAAAATTAGCTGGGCGTGGTGGTGCATGCCTGTAATCCCAGCTACTCAGGAGGCTGAGGCAGGAGAATTGCTTAAACCCAGGAGTCTGAGGTTGCAGTAAGCCGAGATTGCACCATTGAACTCCAGCTTGGGCGACAAAAGTGAAACTTTGTCTCAAAACAAAACAAACAAACAAACAAAAACCAAACCAAACCAAACCAAAACCAAAATAAGAAACTATGACTAGAACATTAAGGTTGTTTAAAGACATGGTTAGCCAAACAGGTATATGTCTAAGAGACTGAGATTATAACAGTCATTGGGGAATAGCTGTTAAAAGTCTTAGGCCCCTTTAATTACAAAAACTTTAGGAACAGGAGTCTTGCATAAATGGTTAAGCTAGCTAAAAGTTGAACGATATGCAAAAGGCGTGTTTCAAGATTTATTTAACAGTAAAGATAGAATTAAGATACTGTATGATAGATAGGATATCAAAAAGCCAAAAAAGCCAAGAGGTTTTATTGTCCATGCACTCTCTGAAGGAGTAAGTAAAACATGAAATTAAGACTAAAGAGCAGTTTTTTAAAAAGTGAAAGAGCAAGATTTAAGAAACAATAGAAAGGAAATAAAATGATGGAATACATCAGTAAATTTAAGGAAGGATTAAAAATAATAATAGTAGCCAGGTACCCTGGCTCACGCCTGTAATCCCAGCACTTTGGGAGGCCGAGACGAGCAGAACACGAGGTCAGGAGATCGAAACGGGCAGAACACGAGGTCAGGAGATCGAGACCACCCTGGCTGACACGGTGAAACCCCGTCTCTACTAAAAATATAAAAAATTAGCCGGGCTTGGTGGTGGCCGCCTGTAGTCCCAGCTACTCGAGAGGCTGAGGCAGGAGAATGGCGGGAATCCGGGAGGCGGAGCTTGCAGTGAGCCTGGATCGTGCCACTGCACTCCAGCCTGTGTGACAGAGCGAGACTCCGTCTCAAAAAAATAAATAAATAAATAAATAAAAATAAATAATAATAATAATAATAGCAGGCATAAAAGTATTACTGATAAATACATTTCAACAGTTTGATGATGTTGAATCATTTAAGTGGCAGACAATACAAATATAAAAATTAGAGTAATCTGGGAGTTTTAAAGAAGGATAGAGAATTCTATGGTTTATGTCTTGCTAAAAAGAAAAATACTGATTAGCTTTATGCTTTATAAGAAAATCATGAATGATGCAAGATAAAATTTTAGAATAAGCACTAAGAGAAGAACAAAACAGTGAATAAAAAAAAAGAAAAAAGATTCAGGTAAAAAGAGCAATATAGTTCTCAAGATTGTGCATGATTTTACACAACTTTCTGTTAGATTAGTGGGTTAACTGAAATATTTCTTTAAAATAAAATCTCATTGGATTATAAGTAAAGGTAGTATGTTGGTATTTTTTCTTTCAATTTTTCTGTTTTATAAATGGTGCCAAACATGCAGAAATAGGATAGTATTGAGCAATTTATAATTAAAAGCCTTGTCCCCAAATCAGAAACTTGGACTGTGTAATAAAAAGAGATCTTGTATCTGACTGCGACAGCTCTATGATTATCTCTCGACTCTGCTTCTGCCCCTTGGCCAAGATAAGGATGAGATATGCTTCTTGTGATGAATACTGTGTTGTTTAAAGTTTGAAATTCCCCTGGAGGTACTTTGGGGCTAGATTGTCTATATTGTTTTTGAAATATATACTGTAGATTGTGAATACCCAAGTACAAGTCAGCATTACCCATTATCTTAATTATTGGTGTAGTTTCCACAAAAAATTTCCTGCCTTGCTTCATTGCTTTCTTCATTTTTAAGCATACTGGCCAGTGTGTCATAACATAAGACTCTTCTGCCCAAAAGCTTCCGGTAGCCTCCCATCTCACTCAAAGAAAAAACAGATCTTTACAAGTGCCTACAAAGGCCCTATGTAATCTGCCTTCAGTTGCCTGTCTCACTTCGACTCCTGCTTGCCCGATTGTACATGCTCTGCTGGCTACACTGGCTCCCAGTACATGGAATAAGTCAGGATGCTCCATCTCAGTAGACTTAAACTTGCTCTTTCCTCAGTCTGGAACGTTCTTCCCCAGACAAAAAGCAAACCCTCTCAATTCCTTCCTATTTTTATTTGCTTCTTGCAAATTAGGTCTTTCTGGCCGCTGGATCTCTCTTTCTCTCTCTCTCTCGTGTGTGTGTGTGTGTGTGTGTGTGTGTGTGTGTGTGTGTGTGTATTTTAAATATCCTACTTTTCATTTTTATAGATTTGGAGGGTACTAGTGCCATTTGTTTACATGGATATATTGCATAGTGTTGAAATCTGGGCTTTTAGTGTACCCATTACCCAAATAGTGCACATTGTACCCAATAGCTAATCTTTCATCCCTCACCCTCCTCCCACCCTCCCACCTTTTGGAGTCTCCCAGGTCTATTGTTCCACTCAATATGGCCAAGTGTACCCATTGTTGAGCTCCCACTTATAAATGAGAACATAAGGTTTTTTTATTTTCTGCTTCTGAGTTATTTCAGTTAGGATAATGGCCTCCAGTATTATCCATGTTGTTGCAAAAGACTTTATTTATTTATTTATTTATTTTGGAGAGAGAGTCTCACTCTGTCACCAGGCTGGAGTGCAGTGGCAAGATCTCAGCTCACTGCAGCCTCCACCTCCCTCATTCAAGTGATTCTCCTGCCTCAGCTTCCCGAGTAGCTGGGACTATAGGCGCGTGCCACCACACCCAGCTAAGTTTTGTATTCTTAGTAGATGTGGGGTTTCTCCATGTTGGCCAGGATGGTCTCGATCTCTTGACCTCATGATCTGCCCGCCTCAGCCTCCCAAAGTGCTGGGATTACTGGCCATTTTATTTTATTTTTTTAAGGATGAGTAGTATTCCATAATATTTTATATATATATATATATATATATATATATATATATATATATATAAAATATATATATAAATAGTCTATATACAGTGTGTATGTGCATGTGTGTGTATATGTGTGTGTGTAGTCTCTTACATCGTTCTCTATGGCATTATCACTATCTGGCTTAATATATACTTACTTATTTAACCTATTTATTTTGTTTATTACAGGTATACAAGGAAATTCAATTTTTTTTGGCTTCTTTACCACTTGGGTTTAGAAGAGTGCTTTGCACATTGTAGGAGTGTAGAATAGACTTGACATACAGCTGGATATCACTGGGGTCTCCTGAATATCTGGGTTTGTCTGTGGCCAAGTCAAGGGTAGTGGGCTTTATGATTCACAAAGATTAAAAGTTAATTTTAATCCATAAAATTAACCATCCCAGTGGCTATCTAAAGCTGGAAACACCATGGGACTATTTGTTTACTGATGGTTTTAAACTGGCCTACCTGTTAGACAAGTCGGAATGTCCACATGATCAAAAAGGAATAAAAATCACCACACCAGTGGGAACTTATCTTTTAAGATCTCCCATAGCCAAAATTCTTTGTAGAGACCTTGATGATCAATGTCAGAATAAAGACACTGGAGATTTGCAGTGGACTGTTTGTGATTCCTTAATGTTTGCCTGCATTTTATTGCCCTTTCTGTTCCTGAACCTATGCCTTAAAAAAATGTCTCCTGTGATTATGCTCTGTGGGGTATCGTGAGGCTTTTAAACTATCCAAACATCTGAAATTTGTATGGAGGTATTCAATAAATATTTTCCGAATGAATATATCAATTACCCTTTAGTCCTACTGTATAAATGTCATAGTCTGTTCAGGGTACTATAATAAATATAATAGACTGGGTGGCATATAAAAAGCAGAAATTTATTTCTCACAGTTCTGGAGGCTTGGGAGTCCAAGATTAAGGTGATATCAGATTTCACGGCTAGTGACAGCCTGTTCCTCATAAATGGTCCTTTCTTACTATGTACTCATATCGTAAAAGGGATGAGAGAGCTTTCTGGGGCCTTCTATAAGGGCACTAATCCTATTCATGAGGGCTTCATCCTTATGAACTAATTATCTCCCAAAGGTGCCACCTCCTAGTACCATTGTATTGAGCGTCAGGATTTAAACATATGGATTTTGGGGGGAAACAAACATTCAAACCATGGCAATGTGAAGTATTCTGCAGCAGAATAATCCAAAACATAGGTTCATCGGGATTATTTAACCTTAAATTTATTTGAATTATATTCTTAGTATAGCTAAATTTAAACTCTTTGTCAAATCAGGATAAAACCAAGAACACCAGACAGCCTTGACATCTTCTAATTATGTTGCAGTTCAGTTAAGTTTCAGTCACTGGAGCAATCACAGGATTTTCTCTTTAGATAGAAAGGGAGAGGGCTTAACATAAAAACAAATGTATGCACTTGCATCAGCTACTCACTAAGGCTAATTGCCCAGACTAGATCAGTTCTGGGTTCCAGATCAAATGGCAAAAGTAAGAACATTCATTGTGAAACTCAAAAATGCAAACTTTCTTTCGTAATATTATATATATATATATTTTAATCTTAAATTGCCAATAAATGTCCCTATCCTCCACTACAAATTTGCATTTGCTGTTTACTAATTTTATTGTATCATGTATCGAGGATAAAATGATTTTTCTTAGTGAGATTTTTATTTTTCCTGTTTTGTGAGCAATTTTTATTATGCACATTATTATGGGAATATAATGCGTATGTTTTACCCTGGAAAATAACTAGTATTTTGTTCTCTAGCCTTAGCTAATCATATTAGTCAAATTCTAATTTCCCTTGCTTGGTTTTTGCCTTTTCCTTCATTATGAGATTGTTATCTTTCATTATAAGATTGTTAATATATCTATTTTTCTTTGAGTCTTTTTCAATTTTTACTTAAAAGTAAAAATGTAAACTGAAAAGCCTACTTTAAGTGCATACTATTCATGTCACAAATATTTTGCTTAATTACAAATGTGAAATATATTTGTGGATCATGCCCAGTGCTATTTATGTTAGTCTATATTTGCCAATGTATAGGTTTACTTTAATTCTTAGCATTTGTCCATTTACCAACTTTCATTAGTTTCCAAATATATGTGATGCTAAATTTTTAATAAGTTCAAATCTGTAGTTCATATTCAGGAAATATAATTTTTTATGTAATTACTTAGAGGATTTTGTTTGTTTATATACTATACTGTCAACTTACACATATTTATTTCTTTCTATTTTGCCTTTTCTTCTAATTCATTTTTTTGTAAATTCTATGTTTGGAAGAGATAATGAAAAATAGGTTGTGTATTCTGTCGTGTTTAGTTGCTCAAAGTCACACTAAGTCAAAATTACTCTTAAAATTTATGTTTAGAAGCCATGTAATATGAAATATAATGCTTAGAGCCACATTTATGGTGGCAATATTATCACACTATGTGAGCTCATAGAACTAAGGCCAACTGCAGAGAACAGAGATTTAAATCTCTCAGAGCCTCATTGCATGTATTTTTCCAGAATATATGGTCATGAGTATAATGAGAGTGTATGGCCTGTATTTGTAAATTTATTTTTTGTTTCACTGTATTTGTTTGCTGAATATTGTTCTTAAATTTATCTATTTTTATAATATTGTATAGTATTATAGACCAAATGTCTTCTTTCACGTTTCATGTATCCCTAGACTTACTTCAAAGGGAGGATATTTTAACTGTCATTATCTAAGGGGAGACTTTTTTTGTGGAAACTCACAAAGAGTTGCATAAATTAAGGTGTTACAAACTAGTCTGCTGACTTGTAAATCTATTGATTTCTATGTCTATTCAAACATACAAAAACGATGTCAACAATATCATTACCAGAAATTTATTTCCTCCCTCTCCCTGCCAGCCTTTGAAAAACAATAATAAGCTCTGCTAATGATATAAAGGCTAATCAATTAAAATAGCTTCTGCTTTCAAAATCAGACTTGTCCTTTGAACTCTTGTGCCATTTAACAAGTTTCTTTCCTTCAACACTGTAAAAGTACTAATTATGTAATACTACTATACATCACCACATAAATTGACTTTGGTTGCTACAAAAAAATCAAGTGGTAGGTATGAGATCAACCTATGATTTTTACAGCAGATAAAAATTTCCATATGAATTATTTTAGCAATAAAAGATAGAGAAATGTTCAGTTAGAAATTAATTCAGATTATAGTAATTAAAATTTGTACACCTGTACTATTCACAGAAATAAATTGCAAATTATCATTGCCCACTTCCTGACTGAGATTCCATTTATATAGTGTGCTAACTATAATTTTACAAACTCACCTGCCTAAATAAGTTTTACAGTCATTTTTAGTAATCACATAAATGGATAATACATTTTTAAGAGTTAAAAACCTATTCATTACTTTTGCTACCAATAAAATCAGCATTCCTAGGAATATGACAAAATTCTCAAATTTTGAAGAACAAATGAACATTTCATTTTTTTTTTTGTTAGGGTAGTTACAGGCCATTACTGCCTTAGTCAGTTTGGGCTGCTAGAACATACTACTGCAGATTCCGTGGCTTACACAGTAGAAATTTATTTCTCACAGTTCTAGAGCTGGAAAATCTAAGATCAAGACAATGCCAGATCTGTTGTCTGCTGAGGACCCATTTTCTGGTTTGTAGACTGTTGTTATCTCTTTGTGTCCTCACATGGTGCAAAGAGAGAGATCATCTCTCTCAAGTCTCTTCATATAAGGACACCAATCCCTTTCATGAAAGCTTCCCTCTCATGATCTAATTGCCCCAGCAAAGGCTCTATTTCTAATAACTTCACATTGGAAATCTAGGCTTCAACACTTGAAATTTTAGGAGACCCAAACATTCAGTCTATAGCCAAAAAAAAAAAAAAATGAAAGTTTAGTGATGCTAATAATGATATTTTTCTCTTCGGATTTCCTAAACAACTGAAAGGAGACATGCGTCCAGTGATCCAAAATCCAGAGATTTGGGATACATTACAAAGAAAGATAGTACTTAAATATACTTCCTCTTTTTCTGCCCATTCCTTTTTCAAGTTCAGATTTTTTGGCCTATTTGTGAGAAAGTTAAATATCATATTTTGTTTAAATCTGCATGAAATATAAACATATTTTCTGCACCCAGAGAAGTGTGTGTGCATGTGCTTGTGTATGTGTGAATTTCTTTGCATCCTGTGAGCATAGAAGGATCAGTTAGATCCTATGTTTCCATCACTTACTGGCCAAACATAATAGCCTTTGACGCCAACTTCTTAGCGGATCCACCAATCCTCTTAGCCATCTCCTTGATGTTATGAGCAAGGAAGTAAGGGGAGAAGTGAGACCAGAAGAACTCTTATAGTTCTCCCCACTGCAATGACTCAGAACTCACCTTCTATGGAAAGTTAATAATAAAAGCTAAGCAAATTCTTATTAATAACAATTTACAATTAATTCAGATTTAAATATGGCCTTGAGTAGATACGTGAAGGATGTAAAAATATTATTCATTTTTCCCCTATCACTCATGCATTGGTGTACTTCCCTTTTTTAATGTTATAACCGTCATCATCTCAAAGTCCTTCATTTTGTAAATCCCCTTCACATTTGCTACCTGCAAAGCCTCACATGATATAAGTCAATGTTATTTTTTGAATCTATTTTTCTGTTTTTGATGTGGACACTACATAAAAATGAGTGGCTATTATTTAATATGGAGTAAACACTATATAAAAGTTGATTTAGTTATATTTTTGATAATAAGAAGTCATAGACTCTCGAGGTGAAAATGTAGAACCAAATGTATAAAGGCATTAACAGAGGAATTAGTTTATAAGATTTATTAGCAAACACCTATATATTTACAAAATCATGTATTCCAAATAATATATGTGATTTTCACACACTTGGAGTCAAACCAATAAGAATTAAGTTTATTATCAAAGAACTAAGAACCAAAAATTGATTGCCTCAGATCCCAAATTTCTTCCTTCCAAAACAATAACTTGACCATATAGAAATATGTATATGGGAAATCTAAAAGGGAGAAGGGCAATGAGATATCCCATGAAATAACTTATGCTCGCCCAAGGAGGTACTGGAAGGAAACTTGACAAGAGTCCAATAAACGTTGAGCCCTCAACAACAGAGGATAGAAAAGAATGTCATCAATATGTTTGGGTATGAATGGATATTTTTGTATAATATGCAGGTATCACACAGAGATCTGGTAAGTAATCTTGTACTGTCACTTCGGTGTTTTCACATGCCTTCCAAAATCAACTTGAACTCTTCCAAAATAGGACACTCAATTAATGTATAATTAATTGTCTGTTTTGATATCATTTTGATATCATTTTGTTTCTTCCTTCAACGCCTCTACAAAACCAACACACCTTCTGGCTTTTTTAAAAGTAGCATACTCCTATGAAGATGCATAAATCCTTCATATTAGTGTTTGCCTAGCTGATTTTTGTTGCTCATTAGTGAAGCAGGAACCCAAGTAAGTGGGTTGTGCTCACTGTTTTTAAATTTGCATTTTAATAAAGAATAGACTGGAAAAGAACATAGCAGAATAAAACAATACAATAGAACACAGTGCCATAGAGATAAAATATCATAGGAAATTACTCAGGTGCTTTGCAAGAATTACACATATTGCAGCAAGTGCTGTGGGAAATTTGTAAGTGTGAAGTAAGCCAGCCAGTAAATGAGATGATACAACAAATTTGTTTCCTGACATGTCATATTTTATCGTGTGTGACACTTCCGGGTGAGGTCACCTTTGATCCTCCAGTTCATCCACCAGATTAACGTAGCTGCAAGTGGGAGCCTATGAGACCAGTAGAACAGCCTCCCAGACAATGCACATACATTCTAAAAGTAAAGACACAGACAAAATATTGGGAAGATTTACTCATGATGTTAAATGTGCTTTACAGAAAAAAATTACACATATATCTGAAACTTCATTAAGCTTTTTAATTCACGTTGTCTTCAGTTAGGTCAAGGTTGAAAGACCTACTTTATATGATGTGGTCGTGGTAAATAGCATTAATACTAATGAACTCAGAATATTATTGGACATTTTTCTTATAGAATAATCTAATTTGATAATGTATAGTTCAGTATAATTATCCATCTTAACTAATTGAATAATTAAACTGCAAATATGTATTTTCTTTAGAAGGCAAGTCTTTAAACCAAACAAGTCAGATTTTAAAAAGTAAATGGATCTTATACCAAAATGTTATTTCTTAAAATTTTCAACATTCTCTACTGGAAATTATATTTACTACATTTATATAGAAAAATGAAGTATAAGAGTAACTTTAACCCTGAAGTCGTGTTACTCTAATTGTTCTCACTAGTAATGTTCTCTTCAAAATATTTTAGCAATATTAAGAATGTATGAGGAATTACTTTTAAGTCTTGCTTTCTATTGACAATAATTTGAAGGTTTTTGGACATTTTGGATTCTTTGCTATACTAAATGTGTTGAAAAATATCATTTTTTTCTCCGTGTAGCTTCAAATTTAGCCTGTTAAGTATTCTGAAAACACCAGATGGGAATATGACAGAACTCCAGTGCCAGCTGGAAGAAGCTTGCTTTGGCCAAATTTGGGACAATTTAAACATCAAAAATAATAGTGATATTGATGAATTATAACACATGGAATTAAAAGTTGGAAAAAGCACAACATTTTTTGAAATAAAATAATAACGATATATTAATCTTCTAAAAATATCAGCTGAATTCTAATTCAGAATGATAGATTTTCAAATTTGGGAAAGCAAGCACTATGTCAGATTAATGAGTTCTTGTCAGAGATACACTCTATATGTGGCTGCTTACTTTACCTTCATGTCATCTGTTACCTACGTTGGAAATTTTAATAGTTCAAAAAGTTAACTCACTACATATATTCTGAAGTAATCTGAGAATACTACACAAAACCACATACAAAGTACTTGTTGCCTACTCTAGATATACAATGGTTACTTGCATGTATTATAATAATGAAGATTATATATTTATGTAAACTTCAACAAGTAAATTTGTGGCCATGTATCAAAAACCATTTAATAGTTGAGGAAATAAAATTTTAAGTAAATAACATTTTATTCTAGACAACAAGGATTTGGTTTTTTAGTGGTTAAAAGGAGACAGACTGCTGGATTCAAATTGTGATGTTACTGACAAATATATAACTTAGGCATTGACTTATCTGCATTTTTATTTTGTAAAATAGGGTTGATTATTGTAAGTAGCTCAAAGTGATCTATGAAGAATAAATGGATTAATACCTTTAGAAACATAGAGCAGGGGTTAGTGTATAATAAATTCTCAATAGTTAGGCCAAGCTAATAACAATTATTTATCTTTATATACCAGGAACTATGTTAAAATCTCTACAAATTTTAATATTACATTTCATTTTCATTGCCAGCTCTGTTTAGTATCAATGGCTCTATTTCAGTTATACGTGAAAGAGAGAGAAATAAAGCAGCCTGCCTATTTTTACATAATGACTAATTGGATAATATGGAGTTCAAACTCATTTTTATATAAAAGCAAATTTTGTATTTTAATTAGTATAAAAATGTCCCACATGTGATGGACTCGGTTTTAAACATGATGGTTTGAGTTGCTTGTGGGAGAGTCAAGTACATGTGGTGTCGTGCTAATTAGTGAAACAAATTGCTTTACATTTTTTCCAGAAGTTCTCAAAAGACTATATCCCAGTTCTTAAAAATCACAAATAATATCGCAATTTTATTTGCATATGAGATTTATTGGAGTTTGGCGGCTTTGAACCAGCATTACTGAAAGTACTACACATTTTTTCTAAAGGAAGTGAACATGAGAATGCCTGGTTCCTCTGGGTATTACCAGCTGCCAGCTTGAAAAATCAATGTGATAACTAAAATTGTAAAATGTAGCATTTAATTTGCTCTTATGGTCTGTTGATGAAGATATTCATCCATGACAACACCTACCTGTCCATGGCTAATATTTCTTTAGCTACCCACAGTTGCTGAACAAGATTCACCCATCCATAAAACCTTTTTTCAATCTATGTGGAAATCCACATATACTTAATGCATATACTTAAATGGAATCTTTATTCATACTTAAGCCTAAATAATCATGTGCAGAATGTCTTCACAATTATGACCATATCAGATTATATGAGCAGAAATGATCGATTTTCTTGTTCTAAGAAATATCACGTTATATGGTTAGTTAATAAG
Organism: Homo sapiens; assembly: GCF_000001405.40. Classification (NCBI taxonomy): domain Eukaryota; kingdom Metazoa; phylum Chordata; class Mammalia; order Primates; family Hominidae; genus Homo; species Homo sapiens. The sequence continues at coordinate 212,268 of NW_025791779.1, forward strand.
CTCATTGAGTTAAGGAAGATTTTGAATGTTCTTTATCATCTCCAGTACAGTATTGCAAATGGAAAGAATCCCACTCATAATGCTTCCCATGAGTTCAACTTGTTATAATACTATTTTTTTTTCAATTCAGGTGTGACCTTTCTAGACTGATTAAAGGATGTGTATACCCTTTCACTTTTAAGCAGTCCAATTACATTATGTAATTACAATGAGCCTACAAATGTATATTTCTAAAGATTGTCAATAAAATTTCAAGGATAGTTTAGTTTTTTAATAGTTATGCTTATTTTTCATTGCACCACTTAGACATTTTAGGCATTACTTGTGTTAAAATAAATCAGCTACAATTTGTGGTAAATTTTATCATTGGACATCCACAAAAGTTATCATAACATCTAAAAGAGGATGCTAGTAGGAAGTGGATGTAATGGTATATTTTTATGCCATTCTGTATGAAACAGATTTGCTATTAGTATTCTGTGAGAGTCTGCTTTACACTTGAGTCTTTTTTTCCACATAAGAAGATTATATTTTGGGATATTTCTTTACTCAATATTAATTTAAGCAAAAATAAAAGTCTACAGCATCCTGACAAGCTGAATTCCCAATAGGGGAAATTCATTGGAATAAAAACCACAAAGTATTAATTGGATTTCTATGTTTCACATAAGTTAAAATGCATTTTACTTTAAAAGGCCCAGAGCTATATTGTTTATAAATATTGAAACTTAAGAAAGAATGTACACAAAGTTATTTGGAATTGCTTAATTCTAAGCTATTTTTTAAAATAGTTATAGGATTGATGTACTAGATTGTGTTATTGCCTCATTTTTTATTTTCTTTTTTTTGTATAAATACCCATTCTTTTGAGGTGTAAATTTTTCAGTGGCTCCCCCTGTCCCATTGATGCCAGACATGTCAGCATATCACGGACATGAAGTGCTGGTGTACCTGATGAGATTAATATTGTTGGTTTTTACTCCTGAACTCTGTTGCTGAACCGAGAACATAATACACCCCAGATACTAATTGAAACTGACAGTTTTCTTCAGCCCGTACCCTAAAAAGAGACATGAATTTCACTGAGCAGCCCAAGATCAGGAAAGCCACAGCTGAACTTCAGATCATTGTGTGAACCCTTTTTTTGAGAAGTATACAAAATAAAATTTTTGTAGAAAGATACTGAAACTTTATAGGTTATTTTTTCCTAACACAAATTGCTTATACAGGTGATTTAATATAAATTTCTTTTTAGTTATAAAATATCACTTCTGTGAGACTATTTTTTTCAATGTTATCAACCTATAAGGTCACCACATTTTCAATGTTTTTTCTTTTTATCTTCTCTCTTTCACTGACTAAATAACTGTTTTCTCTATATAGGCCAATACCTTAGAAAGACCTAACACTTCTAGAGCATTTTAAAGATAATTATTTTTTGGTAGTTATGAGTATTAGAAAGTTGAGAGAAAACACTGGAAATATGTGATAACTCATTTTTATTTTTAATATGATTCTATGAATAGTAATAATCTTTATTTCAAATTACATTCTTTATATAGTATCTGAAATCCATTTCTGATACATCTCATTAGAAATGAACAGCAGTAGTTACATTCTTTTCAGTAATAAATCACCAATACTTTACCTGTTTCTAGAGGCACAAGTTTGAAAGAGGAATTCATCAATATATGAGATGCTATTTTAAGTTTTAATGAGTACAGTTTTGTGAAACTTAGCTACCTCACAAGAGCAATAAATATTTAATCAAATTGAGATGGGAAAGAGTAAAAAGCTACATGTATTCCTTGGGGAAAGATGAAATACAAATTGATAGGAAGATAAAACCATATCTATACATTAAAATCTTTTTGTAAAGATACTTGGATTTACTTATCAGTCGTTTACAGTTTTGCTTAGGGATTTGCTAAAATCAGCTATAGTTCCAAGGAAAACAGTAATTATTTTATTGAAACAAAAAAAATCTTGAAATACCCTGGACATGTAATATTTCTTTCCATGTTTATAATTGTGAGAAGTAGCATGACTTCAACACAGGAATAGCACTACATAAATGCATGTGGCTTCAGTGAATGGCAGGGGTAAAATTGTTCACTCTGCATGCAGGGGCTCATTTACAAGGTCCATTGCTGTCTGCACAGCTCATTTAGAATTTTGGGCTCCCATGTTGCAGCTTAGTAGAGAAAATACATATTATTTTTAAATTATCAGTTATATAAAGATATAGATTACGCACATTCATATCTCTATATCTATACATCCGTTTATCTTTCTCTCTATATAATGTCTCCTTATATTAGTACAAAGTATTAATTTTTTAGTATATTTCAAAGAGTAATTACGGTAATGCCCATAATTATCTAAGTTAAGCACAATATTAACAGGAGCAGCACTACATTTTTCTGTATACTGAAACCCTTTGGGAATTTTTTTTTTTAGTTCCTAGAGGGAAAAGTTGAAGATTTTAAAGCATCTTGTAGTCAGTTTCTTTTTAATATAATTTTGGTCAATAAATTGGTTTACTTTACATTTTAAATTTTTCCTATGTCAAGTTTATTTTTTCATGCCTGATTACTGTATTTCTGGAAAGACACAAACATAGAACTTTCCCACAGAATCTTTTCACAAATTCATTATTTCTAAACTTTTTTCTCTTTTTAGTAAACAATTTCTTAAACACATGTCACACAGCCCAATTTATATTTACCATGTTATTTAGGTTTTTTGGCATTGAATCACCACTGTTTTCCCTATTTCCTTTTCAAAAGTGACAACTGGACCTGGATGTTTCTAATAGGCTCACCATTCCATGTAGCTTAGGTCCCATTCATTTAAAAGTTCAGTAAACATGAAGGCAGAAAATAAGTCAGAGGCTATTTTTTCACCTTAAGCACCCCCATCTTAATGTGACATAGGTAGGTGATCATTTCTAGCCAGATGAATGAACTTTCCTACTCTACAGGCTTCTGTACTTACATTCCAGGAACACAAAAATGGAGAGTACTGATTATTGCAGAACTGATAGGACTAACGCCACAAATTTGCTTTCAAGTTTTAAGAGCTAATTTTCAAAATGAAATGGGCTGAGGACAGTTATTCTCATGACTAAATATTAAATAATTATAAAAGAATACTGATAATTCCTAGGTATAGATAGTAATAATAAAGCCAACTTTCCTATTTGTAGTCTCAGTTTAATACAAACCAGCTACTGTCCTTAACTTTAAAGCATATTTTATATACATATTTATCAATTAACCCCAATGATCTGCCTTTTCTCAGGTAATTAAGCCATGTGAAGAAATGATATTACTCATAAAACAATGGAATTCTCTTGATGTCTTTCAGAATTGGCATTAATGGCATTTAAGTTTATGTAAAATGTGTCCATTGAAGCTTTTTTCTATCTCTACTTCTGCATACATATAATATGACTAATGTTGTTATGAATTACGTTAAATCACTTTCCATCATAGTTTTTTTGCTATGCAGAATTGAATAATTTTAAATTGGAGACATAATATAATTTGCTTAGTATATTATTAACATATTATTTGTATTATAAAACTAGCATTAATCTACAGTGATTTCTTTTATCTCAAATTTCCTCTGTGAATGTCCAATATACAGTATGCCTTCAAGACTCATTTTTAACAATAAAAATACAATTAATATATCATGGGTAGTATTATATTTGTCTACATACAATTTGGTCAAAATATGCTTACAATAAATGTAAAAGTAGACAGAATGCAAAATTTTATATATGCCACACTACCTAATTTTGAATTTGGCATGAAATTTTACACACAATGTTGTCCCATCTATTTATTTTACAAATAATTATTGAATTTGTGCCACGTGAAATGTACTGTTTTAGATTTTGGAGTTATTGTAATTAAATGTTTAAAACATTTCTAGCTTTATATTCTTTTCAAGCAAAATGGTGTTTAAAAGTATTTAAAATTAGGATTGATTCAGACATCATCAAAGTAAATTTTGAAACCATCAAAGTATTCCCTAATATTTTTAATTGAAATCAGAGATAATAAATTACTTTTATCAGATATATTTTATTATTTGTTTAAACATTAATTTTAGATTTATATAAAATAAAACTATACATGTTGCAATTAAGCAATTAAAAATGTCAGTTCTAAGTGGAGATTTAAAAATGTTTACTTATAATTTCTTCTCTGAGCTTTCCAAAATATTTTCCACTTCTTTAGTTCATGCATCACTCACATTGTGAGTTGTTATTTAGCTCATCGTTGAACAAAGACCTACCATTATAAAAATATATGTAAAATTCTACTTCCTACTGAAGTATTACAGTTAGAATTATTATTGAATAATACCCTTTTCTGTAATAAAATACATAATCATCTTGGAGTCTATTAGATAGATTTTTCAATCTTCTAATCTGAAAAATTTCCCATATATTTTATTTTGTCTGAGGGAAAATTTTGACATCAGTCTTGCCATCTTTTCTGCACTTTTGCTTTCTTATCTATGAGTTGCTAACCACCTAACAAATTCTGAATTTATTTGATTTAATTTTAAATAAATCCAGGACTGTAGTATAGTCATTATGCACACAGGGTTTTAAGCCAGACAACTGGGAGCAAACTGAGATTTTAAAACTAACTAGATATTCCACCTTGAATAAGTCATTTGACTCTCCCATGACTCACTCAACTGTTCACAGGGGATACAAATGAGAATAAAATCTACTTCAAAAGATTATTCTGAAATAACTGAAATTTGTTTATATGAGTACTTAGGAAAGTATTTTGCACATATAAATAGATAATACAAGGAATAAATTTTAATCTAGTTGAATACATCAACAATGGATATTGAAATAATAAGACAAACAAAAATCTCATCAAAGCTGTATCAAGAGAACATTAATCTTGCAAAAGTGATGGTTAATGGTGTGAATTATGTTGGCTTAAATGTTCTAGAAACTGTTAGAATGCACCTTAGCATACAATTTAGAACTAGATTCAATGATTCTTCATTACTTAAAATGAACAATATGTTTTCTACTCACTTTAATGGGCAATTATGTTTAATATATAAATGTTAACTTTATAGTGTTTATAGCTCTCATGCAATAAAAATGTCTAAACTAAATTTTACTCTATATTACAGGGGGAAGTTCTTGCTTGACATATTTAATTTCAAGATAGTATATCAGTTAAGGTAGCAAAATAAGTTTTAATGTACTAAGCTCTGTAAATTAACAATGACAAACTAATTATGATGGTAGACGCATTGCCCTGACAAAGGTTATTCTGGCACTCTGTAAATCTGTAGTTAATAAATTCTTGTAATTTAGATTACAAGTCAATAATAGAAAAATCACTTACTGTTTTATTATTCACCTCCCCGCCCCCATTATTGAGTTGTTCCACACAGCTTCAGCTCCCCTAAACATCTGTCTGCTCTTCAAACATACCAAGGATGCTCCATTTGAACTCTCTACAACTGCTCCTCTTACAGTGAGAATCTTCTTTCCCCAGATTTTGAATGTTTTGCTCCTTCACATCAATCAAAAATATTTGCTCACTTTCATTCTTATCCATGTGCCAGAAGTCAATAATTACTCTACCATAATTATTCTATAAACCGGGATTATTATTGCAGCAAAATTATATCTGCCAAGGAGGATTTCATATAAATAAATGTTTCTCAGTCATCATTCTAGATAATATTGTAAATGTCTATTAAAATTAAGTGTTCACTGTTCATAAAGCTTAAGTTACCTTAAACAATTTTTTGGTAGAGAATTTCTTAATATGTTCACAATTAAACGGTTAATGTGCCTAAATTTTCAAATTTGTACAGACAGAATACTTCCTTTCAGAAAGCAATTACATTCAACAATGTTTACAACAACTATAAGGAAACATATATCAACCATTGAATAAAGCGTAGGAAAGTACATTCAAATGGCTATTAATCTGGGATGATATACAAAGGGTATAATTCAAGCCTTTTTAGACATATAGAGTTATAATCTCTTCTCTTTATAATGTCATAATGTCATGATAGTTTAAATGGCATATGTTAACCATAGTTAATAAAACAATTCAAAAACATAGATAAAGGCTATAACATTCAACAATGTTTAGAACAACTATGGGGGAACCCTCTCAGAATTAGAAAAAAATAATGGATTAGTGTCTTGTCTAAGGGACAACATTAATTATATAAGAAAAATTGTGTTTTGTTTCAAAATTTATCTCTTGCTGGATTTAAAAAATATTTAAATGAAGATTATTACTAAAGAGGTAGCAGCTTTTTATGGTTTAATATGTTTTTAAATAATGAAAATTATCCTTTCTAATAGCTCAGTTTCAAACACTATATTCTTTAATAAAGAAGAGAACACATTTCAAAAAGTATGTCATATCAAAAAAAATTGTCCACTCAGACTCCACAATAGGTACAAAGTCAGAGTAAAATGCCATACAGCCACCAAAACCTAAATGCATTTTCTGATCTACATCTAGTGACATTTTTTGATGTTATTTACTATGACTGTTCGTCTAATTTACTTATCTTGTATTAGTTATCTACTAGTGCATAAAAACTTGCCCCCAAATATCAGTGGATTTAAACAGCACACATGTATTATCTTAAAATCTGTTGGCCTAGAATCCAGACAGTTCATCTGGCTGCTCTGTTTCAGGTTTATTCACACAGTTACCATCAAATTGTCAGCCAGGGCTAAGGTCGCATCTGAAGATGTGATTAATGAAGGATCCACTTATAAGCTTACTCATGTGCTTTTTTTCAGAATTCAGCTTCTTGGAGCTGGTGAACTGTGGATATCAGTTTATTGCTATCTATTAGCTAGACTGTGCTCAGTCTCTTGCCACATGGTCCTCGCTATTGCTCTGTCCACATGATAGCTTGCTTCATCAACACAAAGATGACATCTCACGTACACAAACAAAAATAGAGAGAGAGAGAGAATCACAGTCATTTAAAATCTAATCTTGAAAGTGGCATCTTATCACTTTTGCCACATTATATTTATTCAAAGCAAGTTACTAAACACAGCCCTCAATCAAGTAGAGGGGATTACACAGGTCATAAATACAGGAGGCAGGGATGATTGAAAGTCATTTTAGAAGAATGTTCAAAGTAACTAAAAGTGGAACTACCATTTGATCTGGCATTCCCACTGCTGGGTATATACCCAGAGGAAAATAAGTCATATAAAAAAGACACTTGCACACGCATGTTTATAACAGCACAATTCGCAATTGTGAAAATATAGCACCAGCCTAAAGGCCCATCAACCAATAAGTCAATAAAGAAAATGTGATATATATACCATGGAATTCTACTCAGCAATAAAAAGGAATGAAATAATGGCATTCACAGCAACCTGGATGGAGCTGGAGTTATTATTACTCTAAGTGAAGTAACTCAGTAATGGAAAACTAAACACTGTATGTTCTCACTTATAAATGGGATCTAAGCTGTGAGGACTCAAAGGCATAAGGATGATATAATGAACTCTGGGGACTCAGGGAAGAGTGGGAGAGATGTGAGGGATAAAAAACTACACATTGGTTACAGCGTACACTGCTTGGGTGATGAGTGGATAAAAATCTGAGAAATCACCACTAAACAACTTATCCAGGTAACTAAACACCACCTGTTCCTTCAAAACTATTACAATAATAATATAAATAAATAAGTAAATAAATAGACATCTGTTGAAAAAAAAAAAAGAATAATGTTGCCCTCAGCTTCAGCTCCTCTAAACATCTGTCTGCTTTTCCACCACATCAAGGATGCTCCCACTTGAAGTCTACAACTGGTCCTCCTACTGTAGGAATCTTCTTTCCCCAGATTTTGAATGTTTTGCTCCTTCATATCAATGAAGAGGTTACTCAAATTTTACGAGATCACAGACCTTCCTAGAATATCATACTTAAAATAATATCTAACATGGTATTTGCCAATTCCAACCATTGCTTCACTCTTTCTTGTACCATGTCATAGTTGTACAGTACTTAATATCATCTTACATATTTTACATTTACCTAAAACAGCAACTCTAAGAGCATAGAGAACAAAATGACTAAATGAACAAATGAAAGAAAAACCTTTAACAATAATCAGTCTGGGATGTTATACAAATGGTATAATCCAAGCATTTTTATAGAAAGTTAACATCTTTTCTCTATTCTTTGTAATGTCAAATCTTCATGATGGTTTAAATGTTATATGTTAACCATAATGAATGCAACAATACAAACACACAGATAAATTTTACTCCTGAAAACTTTTCACAGTGAATCAAATGCAAACAGTTATAAAACTGTATGTAGAATTATTATTTGATTACACATGTAAGAAAGGTAAATATGAAGATAGATGTTCTTGAAATGGCTTATCTGGAAGTTATATCATGTTTGCTTGCTTTTAATCGTCTGTGTTTTCTATCCTGCCTAGAAAATGTATCATGTTGCACCGGGTATTGAAATTAATAATGTGTACCGTTAGTAGTCTTAAAATTATTTTACACGTTTTACTTGTTATAATTTTTTGTATGATATAAAATGGAGGAGAATAAAAAAGAAATATGAAAATAAAATTTTAGAATAATACTTATCAAATATCCTTTATGTCCTGAGTATTATATTATGTATTTTATATGCATTATCTCTTTTAAATAAAACCACAAAATTTAAATAAATATTACCTTCCTTAAGTTTGTGAAGAAATTGGAGTTTGAACAAATTGAGATTTCTTTTTCCAATCTGGTAAAATAACACAATTTTTTTATATGTTACTTTATTAATATACTAACTACCTGTATTAGTCAGGGTTCTCCAAAGAGACTGAATCAATAGGATAGATAGATGATGGATGGATAGGTGAATAGATAGATAGATAGATAGATAGATAGATAGATAGATAGATAGATAGATAGATGATAGATAAAGAGGGGATTTATTAGGTAAATTGGTTCACGTGATTATGGCGGCTGAGACGTCCCACAACACACTGTCCACAAGCTGGGGAACCAGAGAAGTTGGTAACGTGGCTCAGTCCAAGTCCAAAATCCTCAAAATCAGAGAATCTGATATGTAACTCTCAGTCTGAGGCCAAAGGCCTGAGAACCTGGGAGAGGGAGGGGAATTGGTGCAAGTCCAAGAGTCCAAAGGCCAGAAAGCTGGAGTTCTATTGTCCAAGGGCAGGATCCTGAAGAAGGTATCTCAACTCCAAGAGAAAGAAAATTTCCCTTTTTTTTTTGTTTGTTTTATCTTGCCTCCAGCTGATTGGATGGTGCCCACCCACATTGAAAGTAGGCCTTTCCTACTCAGTCCACTGACTCACACACCAATCTCTCCCAGAAGCACCCTCATAGACATACCCAGAAATAATGCTTTATAAGCTATTCAGGTATCCCTTAATCCAGTCAAGTCGACATGTAAAATTTGCCAGTACAGTACCTAATATTGTTATATCTCTATTGACTTTTTTATAACATTGAATTTATAATTTATTCAGAAAATTGTTGTTAAACTAAAATATGTCAGCCATTGAATAAAGCATAATAAAGTTAATTATAAATTGAATAAATACTCCAATGAAAAGAAAACAATTTTCAACTTGAATAATGAAAACCAAACTTTAAACTTTTTTAAAGAAACACATTTAAATATAAAGATACTGAAATGTGATCAAAGATGAAATAATGAAAAAGGATGCAATACATTTATTGGTTAGAGTCTAAAAGCAATAGGAAATGACCCAATATAATCACAAATTTAATATTAAAAATTCTTAACTAGGTATAAGCCTATTAATTGGTTAATTTGATAAAACAAACAGTGAACAAAGATGTATCCCAGAATTGGTAGCTGCTAGAAGGATCAAATCTCTGCACCTTTCATGATAGAAAGATTCAAACATGATAAGCCCACCATCACATGACAGTCTGATCTCCCTGAAAAATGGGGGCCCAGGATTTTTATCTGCTTTGAATGGATTAATCAAGAGGTGGCAGTTAGCTTTGGTGAGGAAAAATACAGTTTCAGCCCTTGCATCCTTATTAACATGACCACTTTTTACATAGGCATATTGAGTGAGCCCAACATAATTGGAGAAACAGGGTGTTGTTCTGCCATATAATGAGTCATTTTATTCACCTGATTATTCATCATTCACAAGAGACACAAATATGTATACATTAATTCTATTCTGAGAGGTCTACCCACATACCGTTTTCCCACAGCTCTTTGCTGTATATCTTTTAAACTTATTCTTTCCAATAAACAGATCATCCAATGGTTCAAGAATTAGTGTACATCCATAATTGGGGCCGTCTTTTGGTTTAGGTAAATGATATTTTTGTGTGTGTTCATTATTATATTATTAAATAAAAAATAAAATTTAGAAGGGTCCTTTAATAAATTGTATAATGGACCAAGTATTATGATTAATCTGGTTTCATCAACTTAAGGTACAATATAGGAATTTAAGAAAAAAAACTATCTGTAAAGAGGTTTGTCTGTAAAGAGGACATCGTTAAAAATATGCTTTTGTTCAAACAATAATTTAGCTTGCAAGCATCAGAATGATAATTATATTTTAAAATGTTGCCTTAGCTCATTGCTTTTGTTTTACAACCGCTGTCATTTCAGTCAGACTTCAAAATCTCTAAGAAACAAGATGATTAATGTAAATCAAGTGCCCACTGATTTGAAGAGATTTTTTTAGACCATAAGCTGTGTTTTTTCAATAGTGTTTTTTTTCTTCAGAATGTCATGAGCATAATTGTTTGAAATTTTTGGCTGATGCCAAATTGTAAAAAGAAAAAGAGAAGAGTCTTGCTCTCTAACAAGAGGATGTGAGCTGTAGAGGGCGAGGTGACTTTGCAGACAATGGGTAGACCTTTCAACCTGCCAAATGATCAACAACTTACAACTTCATTGGGTCAGAACCCCATAGCTGAACTCAGTGACTATCTCTTTCCTTGCAGCCATTCATGAAATGCTTTATGACAGCTTGTTTTCATTACTGAACATTGATTTAGGCCATTTTCTTTAAAAATGTAATAATCTTGGAACTTATTCATAAAGAGCTTTCAAAGGGCCCTGAATACAAATGAATCTTCAATTAATGCTACAGGCTTTGATTCAAAACTTTATTATAAAATGAATAGCATTCAGTAATCATGCAAATTTATGTGAAATTTCTTATTTTTTTCTGGCTTTTAAGTTCTCAGCAATTGTTATGTTTTCCTAAACTTTCCTTAAATTAAAAACAAGTTGAATATTCCCTGACCCATCAGTAAAATAATAATGAAAGTTGTCATAAAGAACAACACAGGGTAAGAGGACAAGGTATTATTGCTGGCCCCACTTTTCTGTAAGTGGATTACAAAACAGAATTTTTAATTTGTTTTGTATGATTTTACATATTGGAAGGTCCTAGTAGAAAGTCTTACTTAATATTTAGTCTGAGGAACTGCTCATTTTTAATATCTGTATTTGAGTTGACATAGCAAATTATAAAGAAACACAGCTTTGTCTTAACATCTAAGAAGAAAAAGTTTGCAAAAATTGTTGATAAATTGTTTTTAACTGCATAGTTCTAAGAAGTCTGTTTTATATTTGTGATCACTTAAAGTTATTTTACGTGTTCATGGGACATTTGGATATCCTTATCGTTGTGGAGTGCTTGTTCAGAAACTATGTTCTTTTTCCATAGGGCTGATCGATGTCATTTTCTCATTATTCATAAGAACTATTTAAAGTACATAAATTGCTATGGGTATAAATTGCTCTTCGATGCATACATACATAGGTGATATGAAACCTGCTATATATAAATTCATATACGTATAATCAGTCATATTCATTAAGTTGTCTCCTATTTTAGTCTTTTTATGGTGAATTTTGATAAAGTTCTTAGTTCTAAAGTAGTTCAGATTACCAGGCTCTACGTGTAATGAAAACACTTTCTCACCTTTGTGGTCTGTTTAAGAAACTCGAAGCAATAAGAATATTTTTCTATAGCTTTTTCAAAAAGCTTTATTGTCTCACTATGTACATTTTGAATTATCATCCATATAAGACATTGTCTCCATACGACGAGGTAGAGGTCAGAATTTTTTTTCTTGGATACTCAATCTTTCCAGCATCATTAATCAAACAGAAACTTGCCATGTATTATAACTTTCATTATTAATTGAATATTTTTAAACGTGTGGAATTTTATTTTAAGTCTCTATTCTGCTCCACTATTATTGCACTAGAATTAGATTGCTAATATTCATTTATGTTTACATTATTACATATGAATAACAAATTTTCTTTTATTTTAAAGTTTATGCTTTTGAATGATGAATGTGGAATTCTCATTAAATGATTTAAAGTGTTTTCTATTATTGTATTCCTTGCAAGAATTGATACATGATTTTTTTTTTTTTTGGTCTTTCTTAGATGCTTGGAAGGAATTCAAGAGTCTGTAAGATCTTTGAAATACTTTTTAGAAATTGCGCAAATACAAATTTATATTTTTTAACAAATATGGAAATTTCAAGGTTTTCCACTATTTTTGTGCAATCGTCAGTAGTTGTTCTTGTCTAACAATTCTGTCATTGAATCTGTATTTCAAAATATACAGGCACAATTTTTTATAATAACTTGATTGCATGTTTAAATCTTTAAGATCTACAGTGACATTCCCCTTTTTTTCTGTTCACTATAAGTTATCACCTTTTACTAAATACTGTTGCTAAGTATGTATTATTTTCATGAGGCTTTTGAGAGATCTGAATTTTTATTTTATTGATTCTTTGCAATATATATTTATTTTCCATTTTACTAATTTCTGATATTCTATTTTTTGCTTTTATATTGATTCACTTTGCATTTAATCTGTGATTCCTCTTCAAACTTCTTTGGAGAGATTCATTTATTTCATCACATTTTTCTCATTTTGCATGTGGATTTATGACTATACATTTTCTTTAAGTTTAATTTTAGCTTAAAATCATATATTGAGAATTCTCATTTTGTTTGTTTCATATTTTTCTCATTGGATTATTTATTTGATTTGTGTTACTTACAGAATTATTACCAGGTTTCCAGAAGTGATTTTTTATTCATCATTTTGTTATTAATCTCTCAGAAGGAGTTTTATGACTCATTCTTTATTCTCTTAGTTATAATAAGACACACAATTCTCTTCCTGTTCTTTTACATAAAAGATGTAAAAGTAAGAAAATAATAATTTATATTTTAAATATAAAATAAATATTTGATTATATAAAATCCCCAAAATTACAAATATTAAACAATTCTTCCAAAATCTTATCTCAGAGGACTTTCAAATTTTCAGGTGATTTTTTTTTTACAAAAATGTTTAAGTAAAATTAAATCTTAATTACTTTAGATTAATTACAATAAAAATAAATATAAAAGCACCTCCACTTTGGCTCAAATATCAGATATCTTAGTTGGTATAAATTTAAAACTCTTTCTTCAATAGTCATTACGTTCATATTTTATTGATTATAAAACTTATACAACAGAAGACCTTTACATTCATCATCTTGGGAAAATAGTGCAGTGTTATACTTAATTTAATTGTTAAAATGCTTGAAGATTTATTTTTAGTAGCTCTTATCAACCATCATGAATCAATCATAATAAATTAGAATTAACTTACCACAATAAACAAACGAAATTTCCCACACAAAATATAAAACAACAGTTTCCGCTGGAGAGGGCATTGAAGAAGATTCAGCACAGACTGTGATCCCCAAAAGAAAGAAAACTATTGAAGTGAGCTCTATGGTGATTTTCTGCCTAGAAACACATTTTGGTTCATGGGATGGGGAGTAAGACATGGTGGTCCTATTTACTTGATAGGACAAAGACCACATTTTGTGAAGAATGACTGTAATCTGTTAGGCATATAACACAGAGAAGGGTGACATGCAATGAAGGAGCTCCAGAAATCAGTATGATGTTCTCCTTGAACTTATGCTAAATACTAAGTTATTGTGAAATTCCACCTCCATACCATTGTTTGCTTACTTCACTCGTATTCTCTTTCTCTCTCTCTCTCTTCTTTTTTTTTTTGTTGTTGTTTTTGTTTTTTTTGAGATGGAGTGTCGCTCAGTTGCCCAGGCTAGAGTGCAGCGGTGCAATCTCGGCTCACTGCAAGCTCCACCTCCCAGGTTCAAGTGATTCTCCTGCCTCAGCCTCCTGAGTAGCTGGGATTGCAGGTGCCCGCCACGACATCCGGCTAATTTTTCGTATTTTTAGTAGAGATGGGGTTTCACCATGTTGGCCAGGCTGGTCTTGAACTCCTGATGTTGTGATAAGTCTACCTAGGCCTCCCAAAGTGCTGGAGTTACAAGTGTGAGCCACTGCATCTGGCCGTTTTCTTTCTTATTATTAGTTATTATGCCCTACCATCCATAGTAGGGATGCTGAAATTAGACAAAGTCTATAAAATGCTATTATTAACATGATTACTGCACTAATGTGTGTAAAAAAAAGCTTAGTTTTAAGAGAAATATCTATCATTTTATTTTTTATTTAAAAGCAATTATTTTATGGTAAATTGATGATTTATAACTGTATAAATATATGGGGTACAAAGTGATGTTATGATTTATAAATATAATGTGGAATAATTAAAGTCAACACATCTGTAACCTCAAATATTTAACAATTTTTTGCAATAAGAACATTGAAATTTACCACTCTTAGCAATTTTTAAATGTACAATATTATTACTAACTATATTCACCACGCTGTGCAACATAACTCAAAAATATATGCACTTTCTGCCTGAGGTTTTGTATTGACCATCATCTCAATACATTTTGAAGCAAAAATAACAATGTATTTGAAGTTTCTAACACACGCAAAGTATTATCTAACAGCTAGAGTATAACTGACAGAGAAGAGAAATAAAAGACCCTTGTTTTATTGTCTTATATTAAGTTAGGAAAATATTAATTGAAGGTATGGTAAGATAAATATGTAAATGTTAAATTATAGGTTAAAAATGAAGAAATAAATTACATATTGTGAGGTAGTAAAAAATGTAATAGAAAAAATTAAATGGAATCCTAAAGATATATATATATATATACACATATATATATATATCCTAAATATATATATATATATATTGTATGGGTAAAACTATATCCCTCCAAAATTTATATGTTGATGTTGTAACCCTCACTACCTCAGAATGTGACTGTATTTGGAGATAGATTATTTAAAAAGGTAAGTAAATTTAAATAATGTCATTATAGTGGGCCCTAATCCAATATGACTGATATCCACGTAAGTAAAAATAAGAATACAAACATGCCCAGAGGTAAGATCATGTGAAGACACAAGGAGAAGATGGATGTCTACAAGCCAAAGAGAGAGGCCTCAGAAGAAACCAGTGCTGCTGACACCCTGATCTCAGACTTCTATCCTCCAAGACTAGAAGTAAATTTCTGCTGTTTATGCCACCTAGTCTATGGTACTCTGTTATGGCTGCCATAGCAAACTAATACAGTATTCATTCAAAAAAAGTCAGGAGGAGAGGGAAAAATAGAAAAAGAATGGATGGTTACACTGAATAATAATAGCAATAAGGTCAAATAAATAATATCAATATTTACATTACTTATAAATGTAGTAAACACTAATTGGAAAGCAAAGATTTTTAAATTGGAGAAAAATGAACACCCCAAAATGTGTGGTTTTCAAGAACACCACATTAATTAAAAATACACATATTTAAACATAAAATAATGGAAAATATATATTGTACATAATCATAAATAAGCTGGAGTGCCAACATATTATAAAAAATACATTTTAGCTTTTTCCAAATTACACAGGATTTGAGAGGCAGTCATGTTAAGTGGGTGAATTCATCAAGAAAATCAACAACACTAAATATTCAAGCACTTAGACTTATAAATACAGAAACAAAAACTAATAAAATTGTTTGAAGGAATGGAAAAATTCACACAGCTAGCTGGAAATTTTAATTGTCCCCCCTCAATAATGGATAAAACAAATGGATCAAAAATTAATATATGTAGCTGAGCTTGGTGGCTCAGGCTTATAATCCCAGTGCTTTCGGAGGAAGGCTGGGATAGGAGGGTCTCTTAGGGTCAGGCATTTGAGACTAACCTAGGCAACATAGCGAGATATTGTCTCTACAAAAATTTTTTAAAATTCTCTCGGCATGATGTTGCCTGCCTGTGTCCTAGCCACACCTGAGGCTGAGATGGGGGACAGCCTGACCCCAGGAGTTTGAGGCTGCAGTGAGCTGTGATTGTGCCATTACACATCAGCTTGAGTGACGGGGTGAGACTCTGCTGTGAAACAAACAAACAAACAAAATTAGTATAGGTATAGAAATCTTGAACAACATTTTAAAATAACATGACCTAATTGACATTTGTAGAATATTCCACCCAATGATATCAGAATAAGCAAACTTTTTTAAGAAAACAAATGATATTTACCAAGACTAGACTATATGATGTTCAATAAAATAAGCTTCATTAAATTTTTTTAACTTGAAATAATGTAAAGTATATTCTTTTCCAACAATATTCTATGACAGAATAATTAAAAATTAATTACCACAAGATATCTGGGATAAATCTTAAATAGTTTGATATTAAATAAGACATGTTTAATCCAAAGTTAAAGAAGAAATTACAAAATAAATTAGAATGTATATTGAACTAAATATAAATGAAAAAACATCAAAATTTAAGTCATAGAAAAGAATGGTCCCCAAACAATAACCTAAATTTTTGCCTTCAGGCACTACAAAAGCAAGAGCAAATTAAAGCACTCTACATAAAAGGAAGCAAACTAAAGCACTCTACATATATATATGTGTGTGTGTGTGTGTGTGTGTGTGTGTAATATAAATTTATTCTATATTTATATATTTTTATATATAATTTATTCTAAAAGAAAACGAGGTACATGTGCACAACGTGCAGGTGTGTTATATAGGTATACGTGTGTCATGGTGGTTTGCTGCACCTATTGACCTGCCCTCTAAGTTCTCTTCTCTCAGCCCCATCCCCCAACAGGCCCTGGTGTGTGTTGTTCCCCTCTCTGTGTCCGTGTTTTCATTGTTCAACTCCCACTTATTAGTGAGACCACGTGGTATTTGGTTTTCTGTTCCTAAAGGACATGATCTCATTTATTTTTATGGCTGCATAGTATTCCATGATGTATATGTACCACATTTTCTTTATCCAGTCTATCATTATGGGCATTTGGGTTGGTTCCATGTCTTTGCTATTGTAAATAGTGCTGCAATAGATATCCGTGTGCATATGTCTTTATAGTAGACTTCATGACAAAAACACCAAAAGCAACTGCAACAAAAGCCAAAATTGACAAATGGGATCAAATTAAACTAAAGAGCTTTTGCTTAGCAAAAGGAACTATCATCAGTGTGAACAGGCACCCTACTGAGTGGGAGTAAATTTTTGCAATCTACCCATCTGACAAAGGTCCGATATCCAAAATTTACAAGGAACTTAAACAAATTTACAAGAAAAAAAAACCCTATCAAAAAGTGCGCAAAGCATATGAACAGACACTTCTCAAAAGAGGGCATTTATGCGACCAACAAACACATGAAAAAGAGCTCAACATCGCTGATCATCAGAGCCTATTAAAACTAAAATGAGATACCATAGTATGAAAGAAGGAACGTTCTTACAATCCTTACACATTAACAGGTTAATGAGAAAATATGAACAATTTAATCTAATAGACTTAACAACATTGAAGAAACTGACAAGTTTATTCAAAAGTTGAGACTTTTAAAAAATGGCTATAGAATAGACAATCTCAAAAACCTATATCTATTATAGACTTTAAATGTTTATTTAAAATTATTCCCACAAAAAAAAGCAGTAGCCATTGATGTATTTGCTTGTGAATTTTGTCGAATACTTAAGAAAGAAATGATACTCATGTAACACAAACTCTTCAATAATATAGGGGACATTAAAAACCCTCCCAGATCATTTTATGAGGCAAGTGTTTCACTTATATCAAACGTAGACTAAGAAATACAAAGTAGAAAAAAAAATAAAGTCCTGCCAAAAAGCCTTTACAGAATTTTAGCAAATGAAATTCAGTTATATATGTAATTGAAGAAAATGGTGATTAAGTAGAGTGTATCCCAGGAATGCAAGTTGCTTTAATATTAAAAATCAATTAATGTGTCTTATGCCAGAATGGCTATCACAAAAAGTCAAACAGTAACCGATATCGGCGAAGATAAAAGGAAAACTGAATACTTACACACTGTTGGTGGGCCTGTAAGTTAGTACGACCTCTATAGAAAACAGTATGGAGATTTCTTAAAAAACTGAAAATAGAATTATCCTTCCATCCTGCAATTTCACTAGTGGTGTCTATTCAAAAGAAAAGAAATTGTTACATTAAAAATATACTGCACTCATATGTGTATCACAGCTCATATGCTATATTAAAAACATACCACACTCATATGTTTATCATGTTTATGTTTTGCTTCACAATAGCAAAGATTTAGAATTAGTCTTTAATTCTAAGTGTCCATCAATGCGTAAAAAGATAAAGAATATATGGCATATATATTTAGTTTGGTGTAAGAGTAATTGCGGTTTTTGCCATTACTTTTAATGTTATGGCAAACCACAATTACTTTTGCACCAACCTTATATATTCTATTATATATGTATTCTATTATACATGTATGTATATAATTGAACACTATTCAACTATAAAGAAGAAAAAATTGCTGCAACATGGATGAGACTGGATGCCATTATCGTAAGGGAAACAACTCAAACGGACACCTCATGCTCTCACAAGTGAAAGCTAAATAATGCATGCACATGGACAAAATGAGGAGTAATAAATGCTGGAGACTAAGAAGGCTGGGAGAGTGCGGAGGGGAAGAGGGATAAGAATTACTTAAAGGTGGCAGGTCACGGAGGCTCACGCCTATAATCCCAGCACTTTGGGAGGCCGAGGCGGGTGGATCACGAGGTCAGGAGATGGAGACCATCCTGGCTAACACGATGAAACCCCGTCTCTACTAAAAATAAAAAATAAAAATAAAAATAAAAAATAGCCAGGCCTGTTGGCACCTGTAGTCCCAGCTACTCGGGAGGCTGAGGCAGGAGAATGGCATGAACTCAGGAGGCTGAGCTTGCAGTGAGCCGAGATCGCACCACTGCACTACAGCCTGGGTGACAGCGAGACTCTGTCTCAAAAAAAAAACAAAAAAAAAAAAACAGAATTACTTAATGGGTTCACTGTACCTTATTTGGGTGATGGTTACACTAAAACACTGGGCTTTATCATTTTGCAATATATTCATGTAACAACAGCAATTATACGCCTAAAATTTATACAAATAAAAGAAAAGAGAAAAATTAATGAAGACAGTTCAACATATTAATATAATAAATGAGAAAAAATTCTTAGAATGATCTAATTATAAGTAGACATAATAACTAAATTCAGCATCTGATCATGATGCTAAATCCTAGCCAATAATGGAGTGGAACTTCCTAAAGCTATTTAGAATGCTATAAAAAGCTAGGAGCTAACATTAAACTTACTAGTGAAAGATCGACTAGTTTCTCCTGAGATCAAGAAAAATACAAAGTAATAGCTATCATTACCTATGTTCTATATATTATTGAAGATCTTGGCTATTGCAGTAAGTCAAATAAAGTAAATAAAAGCAGTACATATTGGAAAGAAGAATTATATGATCGTGCATGTAGAAAATCTTAAAAAAAGCAGAACTTGTAAGTAATTGTAGCAAAGTTACAAGTTAACACATTATTATATAAAATTCACTTATTTCTCTACAATAAAAGTAAAAAGTTGGAAAATAAAATTAAAACAATGCAATGTAGGGAAATATTTGAAAAATATAATACTTTAGGATAAATATAACCAAATATGTGCAATAAATGAATATTGAAAATTAAGAAGCATTACTGAATAAAGTTAAAGAATATCTAGATTAAGGAAAAGTTTATATAAATACCATAGTTATGAAATCAAGTCAGTATAAATAAAATGTCAGTATTCCCTACATTAATCTATAAATTTCATGCAATCCTAATCAAAATTCTAGCAGGCCAGTTTTTAAAAATTCTATACCATGAACAAGTTAAATAGATACCAAATTAACTGTTTTTGTGTCCATTTTGACCTCATTAAACAAAATAAAATTGCTAAAAAATCTTAATTATCAAGACCTATTTCTTATTAACTCCTCTGAGGATGGCACGTGCAATTAGCCAAGTTCTACTGCTTGTGTTAAAGCAAATCTGGGCTAGTTCATAAAAGCATTTGTGAAAGGACAATTAACAACCTTAACTTTCCTTCTCAGCTAGAGCTGCACAACATGCTCTACATAGTGTGTTTATTAAATGATGCTTTGACTTTATTAGTAAAAAACAAGAAAAAATCTATCGAGAATTAAAATATATTCCAAGGGAGTTCAGTCACATCACTACTGATGCCAGCCCCATGTAATGGAAGAGAAGCTCGCTGAATTACATGGACATTCTGTCTTAGGATGAGAGGAGGAAGTTGCTTCTAGTTTGTTCATTGGCCACTGTGAGAACCCAGGCATTGCGGTTTCCTAGTTGGATAATCTACAGGTATGTGGTAGGAAAGAGCAGCCGCTGAAACACCCACCCTTTCGCCTCCATATATCCGCCTGGGATGGAAGCCATGGAGGCCCAGTGATTCTCTCTCAGATCTGCCCTGTTCCAATCCTTTTATTATATGGTATGGACCCTACGTGTCTTACTTGATGAGGTCCTTCTCAGCTTCTCTGCCCTGCCCCAGCCTTTGACGATCTGCGACCTTGCGTCACATGATAAACACCTGGTCACCTGTGAATGGGCTTCTCCAAGCCCTCCTGTCCTGCCTTCTGCCTGTGGTGCGCAGAAGCCACACACCGCTGAAAGCTCTGGGAAAGAACTGGCTGGTGGACTTGGACATGCTATATGTACCGGTCTCAGAATCTCACCCTTCACAACAAGCTATTTGTGGCTTTAAAAAGGGCACTAACGTGTTTGCCCCTCTGCTCACCCAGTGACCACAGTGATGAAAGTTGCCACAGATTTCTGTTCGAGAATCTGCACATCTCATTTAAAATGTATTGATTTATTTAGGCTTCTTTGAGTCTTCATCATTCCAATGGTAAAAATAAACAGATACATACACACATATATTTATAAAAATAAGATTTTGCAAATTATATTGCTTTTACTCTTTGTTAGAATGAGAGGATTGACTCTTGCAACGTTGTTATTTCTAACCAAAACTGTAAAATTCTTATTAATGCTCTCATTTCTGTGTATTGGAATTTGAAGTTAAAATGTGTGTGCACATGCGCACATACACCCCCCCATATTTTCATTATATAACACACCTATATTTTAATTATATATACAAAATATCCAGAACAATATAAAATTTTCTGTATAATTTTGTCCATGTCCTTCCTCCAGCGTTTAAATCGAGTACCCTTCATTTATTTTATGTATGTACATATGTGAACATATTAAACTCTCCTGGAATTTCTTAAGGAATATTTTAAATTATGCTCGTTATCTTTACTAGTCTCATAATACTATGATTCCAAGATGATACTATCTAATTCAGAAAGCTGTATATAATTATTTAGTCTTAAAAGCTTGAATCAAACATCAATTAAAATTAATTTACTAGAAATTCAGGATTGGATTTTTAAGATAATTGAAAGAAACAAAGTCACCTTTCTTGAACAAATCTGATTCTGAAACTTCTTTCATTAAATATACGCTTCATTTTTCTCTGTAATTTGCTTAAGTAAACATGATAGACACAATTATTTTGGCAAGACAAATACAATCAACTTCATTTTAGTAATCTTCCGAAATTTTTAGTGGTCACTTTCAAGGAAGAATTAGAGGATTTTGGAAAGAATTGACAGATGACATTCTGCAAAATGCCTTTATCAAATGGCTTGCAAGATTAAGATGGAGTATTTATTAGTTAACCCACACACAGCAAGCAGAGGGGAGTGGAAATTCATGATGTACGGGATGTCCTGCCAACACTGCACGGGATGGTCTACACATCTCTGATTGCAATAACACAACCAGTCTGATAATATTCTGTACATGGACTCATAGCATATTTTATGGCTTACAAAATAATAGTCAAATGCTAATAAATAATTGACTTGAAAAAACTGAGGACATAATATAAAAGTAATACTATTTATTTTATTCATTGCTCTAAAATAATTTTATAAATTTGTCTACTCATGTTCAGCAGTGGAGTTCTGAGATTAATTTTATTTTCCTTTCATAAGTCAAGACAATGGGGAATTTTAATTCTGTAAAGACTCAACATCCTTCCTCTCCACTTCATTTGGTAATTGTCTTCTTTCATGACTGAATTCCTCTTAGTCTTAGCCTGAGTCCCACTTTGTGCTTATTCCACAATGATGTCTGCTGTGAGGCCATTTCCTTATCAGGGTCTCCAGACTATTTTCAGAACATCACTCGTGTCATTTTTAGTTACTGACAATTCACTTGAACTACAGAGTCTTTGGCAGCTGCATCAAAAGGAGGCTCTATTTACTTCAAATCCATTAAAAATTCTTGCTACAGCATAGACATTAAAGTTTTCAGGGTTTTTTTTGGCTGTTACCTCTGTATCCTTTCATCTGTCTTTAACCCTTTGATATAAAATATATATTGATTTTATTTTATACACCACTTAATTTTATATGAAGCGTATCCCCAGTTGGGTCGAAACACAGATTCTATAACAGTTCCTGTGTAACATAAATGCATAACATCTCTAGCTACAGCTTCTTGGGGCTGTTTCTAATGTTTAACTGAGTTTTGGAATATGCTAACTCTTTTTGACTACTAGTTCTACACGCATAGATACTCTAATGTGCCCAACATATAAATACATGCCAAAAATGAATCAACTGTGGTGTGAAAAAATGATGTCAGAAGTTTTTTTCTTTTTTCTTTATAATATATAGATAATGATTAAAAAGATAAATTAATGACCAAATGACATGTGATATGAGATACTACTAAGTACTCATTTAATGTAAAAAATTTCTTCAATACTTACTGAATACTCCCTAGAAGTGAGTGCTTTCCTCATCTAGAGGATGAAGACACAAACAAAAAAGACAAAAATCACTGGTCTAATAGTGCTTACATTCCAGAACAGGAAGACAGAAAGTCAAAAAGCGACTTTGCAAGACAATGTATACTTTCAGGTGGTGCTGAAAAAAATAAGTCTAAATTCTCAACAAAATAATTCCACCAGGAACAAGTTTAAAGTGCTGTATTATCAGAATGCCAGCAAGCTTATTACTGAAAGTACTTTCATGGTTGGTGTCTGTAGAACTAAAATATGTTTTACTGATGAAGTCTTGAATTTGGAGTAATGAATACCTGCAAGGGGAGGACAGGAATTTGGGGAGGACACACACTTTAGTTTGGTCTAGGTGAGTGATTGAGAAAGTCTGTTCAGTAGATCATTCTGACTTATAAAGGACAATATTCACCACTGATTCATAAAGATAAAAATAAAGACATTATTTTAAGTGTTCCATAAAGTTATTTGACTTAAATTACTGTTCTGTATATCTTTTTCTATATTTTGTTGATAAAATATTACATGATTAATGAAATCATACTGATAGTAGTACTTTTAATACTTCTGACTGAAATAAAATAGAAAACCCTATGTATGGTGCTTTTCAAATTCAAAACTCTAGAAATATTCTAGAGGACAAATAACGATGACCCAGCCAGTATTTCAGAACCTGTCAAACTTTTTAAACAATATGCTAGCAATATCCAATAACAGTCCTAAAGTAATGAAACACTGTGTGACTATTTGGTTTTTCATATTACCCATTGAAGTCTAATGAAAAGAATATTTTTGGCTGGGCGCGGTGGCTCACGCCTGTAATCCCAGATCTTTGGGAGGCTGAGGCGGGTGGATCACGAAGTCAAGAGATCGAGACCATCCTGGCCAACATGGTGAAATCTCTACTAAAGTCTCTACTAAAAATACAAAAATTAGCCGGGCGTGGTGACGCGTGCCTGTAGTCTCGGCTACTCGGAAGGCTGAGGCAGGAGAATCGCTTGAACCCAGGAGACGGAGGTTGCAGGGAGCCGAGATTGCGCCGCTGCACTCCAGCCTGGTGACAGAGCGAGACCCCGTCTCAAAAAAAAAAAAAAAAAAAAAAAAGATATTTTTAAGTCCTCAGAATATGTGAACGAGCCAGGGGAAGAAACATGTGACAAGAGGTATTGCATCTCTTTACATGGCATGAAATTTTATATGTATCCTATAATCTATATTCTGTAATTACAGCTAAAAAATGATTAAAAATGTCTAATACCAAGAAACATCAGTGCTGACAGAAAAGATTTTTTGGTTGATTTTATTTGTTTGATTATTTTTTAAATATGTTATGCATTAGCTCATATATGAGGAATAAGTCTTCTGTGTTCAGAAACTCTATGGAGACAGTTTTTAAAGGATGGATTTGGAGGATTTGAAGCCATGTGCATCTTACCCTAAGATTCATACTCTCTCCTTGTTATTAAAATTTATACTTTTGCTGCAGTTAAGTTGAACTATACAGTTGTTTCATGAATATGAGCCTGTTACATCCAAGATAAATGTTATTGTGTTGTAAATATCTAAAGGGCATATAGTATGTAAAATGTCTGGATGATGGATGCTCAGTTAGAAAGCAATAAATATATGACTTTGCTTTTCTCATCCTGGTGAATCCTGCATAAATCATGATAGAGCCTCTTGCACGTGGGTTGCAACTAAACAGAGAGAAATTTGACAAAGAAGTTGAGCGCAGTACTCAGAAATTGTACTAAAGTTGGAGAAGAGAACAACAACAACAAAAAAAACACAAAACAAAATACTGAGACATATCATTTCCTCATATTTTCTATAAAGGAATGGTGTGAATTTAATTTTAAATTTGTTACTATTCCAT
Organism: Homo sapiens; assembly: GCF_000001405.40. Classification (NCBI taxonomy): domain Eukaryota; kingdom Metazoa; phylum Chordata; class Mammalia; order Primates; family Hominidae; genus Homo; species Homo sapiens. Next base: position 237,408 of record NW_025791779.1, read on the forward strand.
TTACAAGAACATATTGCTATGAGGTAAATGTAATCCTGTATTCACAAGTTTCCATTAAGGGTGAGATTTTGTGTTTGTCATTTCTGCAAAAATCTAAAGTATTATTTCCCCTACATGTCCATGCAACCTTGTATTAGAAAATGACTAATTCATAAAATATTTTTAAATACATTTGTATTTGTCATTGATTATTTGGAAACTAATGAATTAATTATAAAATTATAATATTCAAAAGCATTTTATTTTATAAATTTTATTTTTTTAATTTTAAATTTTGATTTTTGTTGTTACATAATATGTGTTTATATTTTTGTGGTACATGACATACTTTGTTACAGACATGCAATGCATAATAACCACATCAAGTTAAATGACATATTTGTCTCTGCATGTATTTATCCTTTGTGTTACAAACAATTCAATTATACTCCTTTAGTTATTTTAAAATGTGCAATTAAATTTATTATTAACTATGGTCACCCCGTTGTGCTAGCAAATGCTAAGTCTTATTCATTCCTTCTATTTTATTGTGCCATTAACCATGCTTACTGTCCCCACCTCCTCCAACACACACACCTCCATTATTCTTCCCAGCCTTTGGTAAATATCCCTATACTCTCTATCTCCATGAATTCAATTATTTTAATGTTTAGCTTCCACAAATAATATCTAAAGGGCATATAGTATGTAAGTGTGAGAACATGTGAAGTTTTTCTTCTGATGCTTGGCTTATTTCACTTAACATAATGACCTCTAGTTCTATCTATATTGTTGCACATGACAGGATCTCATTTTTTTATGAGCGAATAGTAGAATTCCATTGTGTATATGTATCACAGTTTCTTTATCCATTTGTCTGTTGATGAACACTAGGGTTGCTCCAAATCTTGGCTACTGTGAAAAGTGCTGAAATAAACATGGGGGTGCACATACGTCTTCTATATTATGATTTTCTTTATCTTACCTAGCAGTGGGATTGCTGGATCACATGGTAGTTCTATTTTTACTTTTTTGAGAAGTGTACAAACTGTTGTCCACAGTGGTTGTACTAATTTATATTCCCATCAACAGTGTGCAAGTGTTCATTTTTCTCCACTTCCTCACTGACATAAAAACCATTTTAACTAGGATATGATATCTCTGTAGTTTTGATTTGCATTTGTCTGATGATCAATGATGCAGAGCACCTTTTGATATTCCTGTTTGCCATTTGTATATCTATTCAGATCTTTGACCTATTTTTGGATCAGATTGCTAGATTTTTTTCCTATAGATTTGTCTGAGTTTCTTTTATAATAAGTTCCAAATATTAATCTCTTATAAACAAATATTTGGCAAATGTTTTTTCCCATTCTGTGCATTTTCTCTTCACTTTGTTTCCTTTGCTATTGAAATACTAATGTCATTCCTCACTAACACAATTTACAGAAGCTTTTAACTTGATGTGATCACATTTGTCCATTTTTGCTTTGGTTCCCTATTCTTATGGGTGTTACTCAAGAAATCTTTGCCCAGAACAATGTCCTAGAGACTTTCCCCAATGTTATCTTTTAGTAGTTTCATAATTTGAAGTCTAGGATTTAAATCTTTAGTCTATTTTGATTTGATTTTTGTATATGGCAAGAGATACGGGGTCTACTTTCATTAATATGCATACAGATGTCCAGTTTCCCCAGAACTATTCATTAAAGAGACTGTCTTTTCACCAATGGAGGTTCTTGGCATCTGTCAAAAATGAATTCAGCATAGATTAATGGATTTTTTTCTTAGTTCTCTATTTTGGTCCATTGATCTGTGTGTCTGTTTTTATGACAGTACCATGTTGTTTTGGTTACTAGAGTTCTGTAGTATAATTTGAAGTAAGGTAATATAATTTTTCCAGTTTTGTTCTTTGTGTTTCGAATAGCTTTGGCTATATAGGGTCTTCTGTGGTTTCATATAAATTTTAAGACTTTTTTCTATTTCAGTGAAGAATGTCATTGATATTTTGATAGTGATTTCATTGAATCTGTAGATTGCTTTGATTAGTGTGGACATTTTAACAATATTGATTCTTTCAACACATGAACATACAATATTTTTTCAATTTTTTGTGTCCTCTTCAATTTCTTTCACCAGTGTTTTATTGTTTTAATTGTAGACATCTTTCCCAGATTTAGTAAAGTTAATTTCCAGGTATTTAATTTTATTTGTGGCCATTGTACAAGGGATTAAATTTTAAATTTTCTTTTTCAGATTGTTCACTGTTGGCATATAGAAATGCTACTGATTTTTGTATGTTGATTTTGTATTTTGCAACTTTACTGAATTTATTTATCAGTTCTAATAGGTTTTTGGTGGAGGCTTTAGGTTTTTCCAAATATAAGATCATATTAACTGCAAAGAAGGATAATATGATTTTTTCCTTTCCAAACTGGATGACCTTAATTTTTTTTCTATGATTGTTCTAGCTGACATTTCCAGGACTATGTTGAGAAACAGTGGTGACAGTGGGCAACCTTGTTATGTTCCAGATCTTAGACAAAAGACTTCCAGTTTTCCCCCATTCCGCATAATAACAGCTGTGGTACTGTCATACATATATTTTATTATGCTGAGGTGTGTTTCCTCTATACTCAGTGTTTTGAGGTTTTTTATTATAAAGTGTTGTTGAATTACATCAAACACTTTTTCAGCATTAATTGAAATGATCATATCTTTTTTATCCCTCATTCTGTTGATATAATGTATTACATTAATTGATTGATTTGCATACGTTGAACCATCCTTCCATTCTTGGGTATATTAGTCAGGGTTCTTTAGAGGAATGGACTAATAGAATACATGTATATATGAAGTACAGTTCATTAAGGAGTATTGACTTGCACAATCTCAAGGTGAAGTCCCACATTAGGCTGTCTGCAAGCCAAGGAGCAAGGAAGCCAGTCTGAGTCCCAAAACCTCAAAAGTAGGAAAGCTGACAGTGCAGCCTTCAGTCTGTGGTCAAAGGCCCAAGAGCCCCTTGCAAACCACTGGTGTAAGTATACGAGTCCAAAAGCTGAAGAACTTGGAGTCTGATGTTCAAGGACAGAAAGCATCAAGCATGGAAGGAAGACAAAGGCTGCAAGACTCAGCAAGTCTGCTCTTTCCAACTTCTTCTTCATGATTTATTCTAGCCATGCGGGCAGCTGAGTAGATTGTACCCACCCAGACTGAGAGTATGTCTGCCTCTCCCAGTACCTGACTCAAATGTTAATCTCCTTTGACAACACCCCATCTGACATGCCCAGGAACAATATTTTGCATCCTGCAATCCAATCAACACAATATTAACCATCACAAGTATTTACTGTGTTAGTACATTTGCATGATGCTATGAAGAAATACCTGAGACTGGGCAATTTATAAAGAAAAGCGGTTTAATTGACTCACAGTTCTGCATGGCTTGGGAGGGCTTAGGAAACTTATAATCATGGTAGAAGGTACTTCTTCACAGGGTGGCAGGAGAGAGAATGAAAGCAAGTGGGAGAAATGCCAGAACCTTATAAAACAATCAGATTTTGTGAGACTCACTCACTATCACAAGAACAGCATAGGGGAAACTGCTCCTTATTCAATTACCTCCACAGAGTCTGTCCCATGATATGTGGGGATTACACGATCGCAATTCAAAATGAGATTTGGGTGAGGACAAAAAGCCAAACCATATCATTTTTCCACATCCCCTCCTAAATTTCATGTCTTAACATTTCAAAACCCAGCCCTTTCAAAAGTTCTCCAGAGTCTTAACTCATTCCAGTATTAACCCAAAAGTCCAAATCCAAAGCCTCATCTGAAACAAGGCAAGTACCTCCCATCTGTGAATCTGTAAAATCAAAAGCAAGTTAGTTACTTCCTAGATACAATGGAGGTATGGGCATAGGGTAAATACAGCCATTCCAAATGGAAGAAATTGGCCAAAACGAAGGGGCTACATGTCCCACACAAATCTGAAATCCAAAAGAGCAGTCATTAAAACTTAAACTTCCAAAACAATCTCCTTTGATTCCATGTCTCACATCCAGGGCATGCTGACGCAAGAGGTTGGCTTCCATGGCCTTGGGAAGCTCTGCCCCTGCAGAGTAACACCTACCTTTCCAGCTGCTTTCACAGGCTGGCATTGAGTGACTGCAAGATGTTTGTGGATCTACCATTCTGGGGACTAGAGAATGGTCGCCCTCTTCTCACAGCTCAACTAGGCAGTGTCCCAGTGCAGACTCTTTGTGGTGCCTCCAACCCCATATTTCCTTTCCACACTGCCCTATCTAGCAGAGGTTCTCCATGAGGACGCCACCCCTGCAGTAAACTTCTGCCTGGGCATCCAGGCATTTTCATACATTCTCTGAAATCTAGGTGGAGGTTTCCAAACCTAAATTGTTGACTTCTGTGCACCCTCAGGCCCAACACCACTCAAAGATCATTTAGCAACCTATTGTTTAATTTCCATGTGTTTATACAGTTTCCAAAATTCCTCTTCTTATTGATTTCTAGTTAAATTGTAGTCAGAGAACATGTTTGAAGTTAATTCAAATCTTTGGGATGTTCTGATACTTGTTTTGTGACCTAACATATGGTCTATCCTTGAGAATGATCCAAGTGCTGAGGGGAAAAATGTGTATTCTCCGGCCACTGGACGAAATGTTCTGTAAATACCTATTAGGCCCATTTGTTCTATAGCACAGATTAAGTTCTATGTTTATTTATTTTCTGTCTGGAAGATGTGTCCAATGGTGTTCAATTGTGAAAGTGGGCTGTATTTTTTTTAGCAGTTTTAATATATCATAACACTGTCTGCTGGCCCATAATGTTTTCACTGAAAGTCTGGACTAGACATACTGGAGCTCTATTATATGTTTTGTGTTTATTTCATCTTGCTGCTTTAAGGAAGCTTTCTTTATCCTTCATTTTTGGGAGTTTGATTATTTAATACCCTGAGGTAGTTTTCTTTAGATTAAATCTGTTTGGTATTCTATAACTTTCTTTACTTGAATATTGATATCTTTCTCTAATTTTGGGAAGTTCTCTGATGTTATCTTTTGAATAAACTTTCTACCCCTATTCCTGTCTACCTCCTCTTTAAGGCCAAAGCTCTTATTATTCCTCTTTTCAAGCTATTTTCTAGATATTTGAGGCATGCTTTATTATTATTATTTTTCCTTTTGTCTCTTTGATGTGTATTTTCAAATAGCCTGTCTTAAAGCTCAGTAATACTTTCTTCTGCTTGATCAGTTCTAAAAGTTAGAGATACTGAAATATTCTTCAATAGTCCAATTACATTTTTCAGCTGCAGAATTTCTGCTTGATTCTTTTAATTATTTTATTCTTTTTGTTAAATTTTTCTGTTAGAATTCTGAATTCTCTCTGTGTGTTATCTTGAATTTCTTTGAGATTCCTCAACATAGCTATTTTGATTTCTCTGTCTAAAAGTTTACGTATCTCTGCTGCTCCCAAGATTGGTCCCTGGTGACTATTTAGTTCATTTGGTGAGGTCATGTTTTCCTCACTTGTTCTGATGCTTGCAGATGTTTGTCAGTGATATACTGCATATTTGCCCCCGCTCAAATTTTACATTGAAATGTTATTCCTCAGTGTTGGAAGTGGGTATTCATGGGAAGTATTTGGATTATGGGGGCAGATTCCTCATTAATGGCTTAGGCCATCTCCTTGATGATAAGTGAGCTCTTGTTCTGAGTTCACATGAGTTCTGGTGATTTAAGAATGTGTGGCACCTCCCCCACTACTCTCTCTCTCCCTTCCCGACTCTCTCTCACTTACTCCTTCTTTTTCCATGTGCATGTGATTTTCCTTCTTCATCTTCTGCTATGATAACAATCTTCCTGAGGCCTCCTTAGAAGGATGCCACGACCATGGTTTCTCTAAAACATGTACAACCATGATTCAATTAAATCTCTTTTCTCTATATATAACCCAGTGTCAGCTATTTACTTATAGTAATGCAACAATGGCTTAATACAGAAAATTAGTACTGATTATTGGCACACTGCTATGAAGATCCCTGAAAATGTGGAAGCAGCTTGGGATCCACGTAACAGGCAGAAGTTGGACAAGTTTGGAGGGCTCAAAGAAGACAGGAAGATGAAGACAAGTTTGGAATTTCTTAGAGACTGATAAATGATTGTGCCCAAACTGTTGATAGTAATATGGACAGTGAAGTCCAGTCTGCTAAGGTCTGAGAAGGAAATTAGGAACTCATTGGGAATTGGAGCAAAGGTCACTTGAGTTATGTCTTAGCAATGAGTTTAGCTGCATTCTGTTTATATCCTAGGGTCTGAGGAAGTTTGAACTAAAGAGTGATAATTTAGTGTATCTGGCAGAAGAAATTTCTATGCAGCCAAGTGACCTGGCTGCTTCTAACAACCTAGACTCAGATGTGGGAACAGAGTGATGACTTAAAGTTGGAACTTATATTAAAAAAGAAAAGTAGAACACAAAAGTTTAGAAAATGTGAAGCCTGGCCATGTGGCAGCGAAATAAAGCTTTTTCAGGAGAGGAATTCAAGCAGGTTGTGGAGCAATTTATTGTGAGAGGAATTTGTATAACTAAAAGGGTGGCAGATGCTGCTATCTAACACAATCAGGAAAAAGTCTTGAAGGCATTTCAGAGACCTTTGTGGCAGCCCCTCCCATCACAGGCCCAGAGGCCTAGGAGGGAAGAATGGTTTCATAGGCCACGTCCAGGGCCTCACTTCCCTGCACAGCCTCAGAACATTGCTTTTGCATCATAGATGATCTTGTTCCAGCCTCAGCTCAGTGGGGCTTAGGTATAGCTCAGGCCATAGGTCCAGGGTGTGCAAGCTATAAGCCTTGTGTGGTTTCACATGGTGCTAAGACTGTGGGTGCACGGAATGCAAGAGTGAATTAGGCTTGACACCTTCTGCCTAGACTTCAGCGGATGTGTAAAAAAGCCTGGATGTCCAGGCAGAAGGCTCCTGTAGGGAAAGAGCCCCTATAGAGGACCTCTACTAGGGAAGTGCAGAGGGGAAATGTGGGGTTGGAGGGCCTGAAGTCCCTAGTTAGGCACTGCCTACTGGAGCTGTGGAAAGGGGGCCACTGGCCTCCAGACCCCAGAATGTTAAATCCACCAGCAGCTTCTACCCTGCACCTGGGAAAGCTCCAGGAACTCAAGAACTTACGAGAATAGCCATGGTGGCTGAATTCTGCAATGCCACAGTGTTACCATTGGAGGGTGTGCAGGTTCTTGGCATCCTGAATAAAGAATTGGACAAAATTCACAAACAAAGTCAGTAAAGAATGAAGCAACAAAAGCAGAGACTTACTGAAAATGAAAGTACACTCCACAGTGTGGAAGTGGGCCCAAGCATAGGGGCCCAAGAGCTCTGTTACAGAATTTTCTGGTGTCTAAATACACTCTAGAGGTTTCACCTGGTTACTTAGTGTATGCTCTATGTGAATGAAGAAGATTAAGTTACAAAGTCATTTACATGGTGTATGCCCTATGTAAATGGAGAGGATATTTTCTGTCATAGCTGAAGTGCTTCCATTTGATTTAGTTCTAGGAAGTCAGCATAAATCGGTTTATGTTCCTTGCCTCCACACCTTATTCTCCTGCCTCAACAGGGGCAGACAGGCAGAGCTTCTCAGAGCCTTGGAGGTTCACCCCTTGCATCAGTGTGCCCTGGATGTGGGATATGGAGTCAAAGGAATCTATTTTGGAGTTTTAAGATGTAATGACTGTCATGCTGAATTTCCGACTTGTGTGAAGCCTGTAGCCCCTTTCTTTTGTCCAGTTATTCCTTTTGGATCTGGAATGTTTACCCAATTTATGCACCCCCATTGCATCTTAGAAGTAAATGAATTGTTTTGATTTTATAGGCTCATTAGGTGGAAGGAACTCATTTTCAGATGAGACTTTGGATTTTGGACTTGAGGCTTTTGAGTTAATTCTCAAATGAGGTAAGACTTTGGGATACTATTGAGATGTCATGATTCTATTTAGAAATATGAGAAGGACAATCATTTGGAAGATGCCAGGGGTGGAGTGATATAGTTAGTTTATACGTCCTTGCCCAAATCTCATATGAGTATGTAATCTCCAATGTGTGAGTTGAGGCCTGGGGGAGCTGTTGGAATGGAGGCAGATCTCTCATAATGGCTTGGACCATCTCTTTAGTGGTAAGTGAGTTCCCACTCTGAATTTACAGATCCCTTCATTTATAAGTTTGTGGCACCTCCCCCAACTTTATCTTTCTTTTATGTGTCTGCTTCTCCTCCATCTTCCACTATGACTGGAAATTTCCTGAGGCTTGCCTAGAAGCTAAGCTGTTGCCACTATGATGCTTCTTGTGAAGCCTACACAACCTTGAGCCAATTAAATTTCTTTTCTTTATAAATTCCTCAGTCTCAGGTATTTCTTTACAGCATTTCTAACTTGCATAATCATGGTTAACAATAAGCACCACTACCCTTGATGTTACTAATTAACAGAGTATTACATTCAAAACATGTTTGTTGGTTCCTAGAGTTATTTCTTCAAACATTTTTCTGAAACTACTTTCTCATTTTAAATTTTTTACTTTGGAGTAACTTTAGGCACACAATGCTGACAAATAAATGGCAGATTCCTGAAAATGTCCTCATGGATACAGAATCATTTCTTACATTTTTACATCCATAAAGTGATTGTTTTATAAACTTGATACTTGAATAATAAGTGCACTGGATATAAAATATTTATACCTTCTTTCATTGAGTTTCAAGAAACAGTGTTGATGCATTTGCGTGTTCCTTGTTTTTCTGTGGTTTTTGAAAAGCCTGATGACAGAAGCAATTTTGTGTTCGTGAGTTTTCAAATCACTGTGCCTGAGCCTTGAAAATTGTTTCTTTATCTTAAAAATCTAACAGTTGTACTAGAAAATATCTTGAAATTGATTGTTGTGCTTAATTTTCCTAGGCACCCAGTAGAATGTTTTAATATATATACTCAGGTTTTTACTAATTTTTAAGTGTTTTTAGAGTATAGGTTTAAATATTAATTGTGTCATTGTTTTATCTTTCTTTTTCAGAAAATCCAATAATGCATATGCAATTCTTTGTGTATTGTCTACTTGCCTTACTTTTTGTTCTGAACCATTTTACTTCTTTATTTATATTGTTTAATTCCTTTCTTTTCTCTTCTTTTTCAATGTTCCTTATTAGAATTTTTTTGTCTATTTTTTGAGTACCTGTATTGCATTCTTAACTTTTACAAAATATTGTATTCTTACACTTCTTCCCTTCAGTTAATCAGTTTCCTTTTTCTTTCCTTTTTTTTTTTTTTTTTTTTGAGATGGAGTTTCCGTTCTTGTTGCCCAGGCTGGAGTGGAATGGTGTGATCTTGGCTCACTGCAACCTACATCTCCTGTGTTCAAGTGATTCTCCTGCCCCAGCCTCCTAAGTAGATGGGATTACAGGCATGAGCCACCACGCCTGGCTAATTTTTTGTATTTTTAGTACAGATGGGGTTTCACCATGTTGGCCAGGTTGGTATCGAACTCCTAACCGCAGGTGATCCACTCATCTTGGCCTCCCAAAGTGCTAGGATTACAGGCATGAGCCATGCACCCATCCAGTTACCTTTTTCTTACATGTTATCTGTTGTGTTCTTAGTTATTTTTAATTTCTTTTTTAACACAACTTTAAAATATCCAATTATTTGCTTGAGTATACTTAAACCCATTTGGAATGAGTACATCAAGGGGCTTTATGTTTGTTTTTCTGGGGAAAGTTTAACTCAATTGATATTTGTTGAATTTTGTTTTCTGATTTTTGCAATACTTCTATTAATGTTGTTCATGTTTGTGTTATTGAGGTGCTTATCGTAAGAATTAAAGAAAGAGGAAAGAAACATGAAAGGTGGCTTGATGGTTAAGACAGGTTTATTTTAGAGAAAACAAACCTGAGAGGGGTGTTTGTCTGTGTTAGGTTAGAGGCACACTCTCTTACAGACTAAGAGTTTTTAAGGATTTAGGGTGGGAGAGTTTATTAAAGGCTTGGACTGCTTCTGTGTTTCTTTGTTGTGCTTATTTGGGAGAGAGAGTTGTGTGTTTGTTCCTATACATTTTTCTGCCGCTGCAGGCATACGCCCAAGCCTGCTTTTAGCTTCCCTATTTTAGTGCACCTGAAGGGAAAGGAATGTGCTTATTAAGGCCCACTGTTTTACTGGGGCCCATTGTAGAAGGGTGAAGTTTTGCAGTTACCCAAGAGACTTTTTCCCCACCTTCTTCTGTGCTCGAACTGTTTTATCTGTGTTTTACTGTCTGGTTTTTCTGGCTGCTTGTAGCTAGAGAAGAGAAGTGATTTTCTTGAAATGCACGAGGCTAAAAAGGGCACTGGAACTTAAAGTGGCAGCGTTCATTCGAGATGATGTTGTTCCTGCTCTGTCACTTATAGCGCCTTAATTTGAGTGTCCTCAGCTATGAATATAGTAAAGTCAGATATTCAGTGTTTCTTTTGGTTTTGTTTGCTTTCATAATTAAAAGAGGAGCTGTGTGCTTTCAGATGTTTTAGGTCTCTTATAATGTGCAGGATGTTAAATTTTCACTGTTATGCCTTTCTCTTCGTATCATTTAATTGCCAATTAGTGTTTTCCCTTCCTACTTTAAATATTTCCCCTAGTGTGAGTTTTAATGACAGTTTTTTCAAATTGTTTACATTTTTTGGTGCCTTCCATGGGGACATATTTTTTCTATGCACTCAACCACCAGATGTAATTAGTATTTCAGACTACAACATTAATGTATTTAGTTCTTCTGGAAACAACTTTAGATCACTCTTAGGATCCATTGTTCCGTCTCTTTCTGTTTCATTCAGTCTTTCTAGGCTTGTCATTGCTGGCCCCTTGCCCTTCCCTGGGGTGGAGTTGGTGGAGGAATGTGAGTCTATCCATGATGTGACTTGGTGTTTTTTTCTGTGTGTGTGTGTGTGTGTGTAAATATATGTGTGTGTATATATATGTAAATATATATGTGTATATATGTAAATATATGTGCATATATGTAAATATGTGTATATATGTAAATATATGTATATGTATATATGTGTATATATGTAAATATGTGTATATGTGTATATGTATATGTATATATGTATATATGCATATATATGTAAAAATAATATACATGTAAAAAATACATATGTAATTATGTAATGTCAGGAATTCTCTGCCCTCACGTTATGCTAAAAGATGGTTTTCAGGTGTTTTATTTTCAGTATTACTTTTACAGGAAATACGACAAATGGAGACCTAGGTACTAGTTTTGTCTTCAACCATCAGCAATCCTTTATTCCTGTTTAAAAAATATTTTAAATTTAGGAAATAGTAATTCAAGTGTTGTTCATACTATTCAACTAATTCATACAAATTATCCATAGTAGATATATTTTACAAAATTTAATGTAAGGTTTTTGATGTATATTTTATTTTTATTTATTTATTGTTTGTTTGTTTGTGTATTTTTGAGACAGAGTCTCACTCTATAGCCCAGGCTGGAGTGCAGTGGTGCAACCTTGGCTCACTGCAACCTCCACCTCCCAGGTTCAAGCAATTCTCGTGCCCCAGCATCCTCTGTAGCCGGGAATACAGGCGATCGCCATCACACCTAATTTTTCTTTCTTTTTTTTTCTTTTTTTCTTTTTAAGTAGAGACAAGGTTTCACCATGTTGGCCAGGCTGGTCTTGAACTCCTGACCACAAATGATCAAGTGATCCACCCACCTCGGCCTCCCAAAGTGCTGGGTGTCACGGTGCCTGGCCTCTGATACATATTTATTTTAAATATTTCTCAAATATTATTGTTTTCAGTTAGAAAGAAAAATATATTTTGGAGAATTACCATACACTAAAACCTCTATATGTGTTGTCATTTACTCCATAGAACAATCTGGCAGAGTGCGTCTTATTATTCTGGATATGTACATCAAGAGTCTGTAAATTAACAGCAGAATGGATTCAGCATTTGAACAAAGCTTTTATATTACTCAAATTACCATGTGTGTTTTTATTCCATCAAGGTTTTAATCCAATTTCAAGTTCTACTTAAAATTATACTGTTTATGAAACTGTTATTCAAATAATAGAATCATTTAACCACAGATCACCAGAATCAATGAGTGCAAATGCATATAAGGAAAAGAATTGTGTCTCATATTTGAAAAATGATTTACTAATCTTCAAAGGAAGAACAACTTAACAAAAAAATTAAGATAATCATTTGTGGGATTAAATAAATCAATGAAATGTTATTTCCAATTTTTATCAAAAGAGATATAATTACTCTTAAAGAGTATGTATCTTACTCTACTATGGTTATTTAATAGATACATTGCTCTAGATTTAATGTAGTCCAATTGTTAATGACACTTCTGTGATCAAAGCAATACCATAATGTTGTAAATAGTTTATAAGATTCAAAAGCACTTTCAGAGAAAAATATATTTATATTTATATTAAAATCAATTATGTATCTATTAATATCCTTTAGGGTCAACAAATAGTCTGTGACACAGCACCATCCACATTTAATAGTAATTATTTTCTTTAAAAGTTTTTTCTTCTTATTTTTAATCATCATTTGTGTACCTGTAGACATTTTATAGCTTTTCTACTATATCAAATATGAATAAACAATCATACCATTATGAAAATATATTTTAAGTTGTATTTTTAACTTAAACTTTAATACATCTGTTTAGTAATAAATTAAGAAAAATTTCAAATCAAGTTTATCAAATTAATGTTAAATACATTATCTCTGAATAAAAATGATTTAATCAGAAGCCTAAATATATATCCCCCTTTTATTTAAAGTATTTCTAATCATATTACATGAATTAAGAGAAAATAATCTTTATTATCCTACTGACTGGGTAAAGAGAGTAGTGAAAACTTATAAGTAGAAGAGAAAGAAATGCCATATGAAGGTCATATACTAAAACTGATTCTATAAAATTGATTTGATTTATGTTCGCATGCTGACCATTCCCAATAAAATTACACACTACAGCCTTGACCATCACAAGGCCAAATAAATTGACTAGATCCGCAAAGAGTTGAACTTGAGGTAATCGAAGTACAGATATTGGCTTTTTGGAACAAAGCAGACTTAGAGGCGGTGGAGTGTGGATAATATCCATTTTGCTTATACAGTTTTCCTCAAGGTCTTGGCCTGCATAAAAGGAAGTGGATTTGTCCTAGTGGGATTGTACATTTAACAAGATATTTATTTAAATTTTATGTTCAATGTGCTATGTAAAATTTAATGTAGACAGCTTAAAAACATGCTTAAAAGTAGCACTTAGTGATTAAAAAAAAACTTGGTTGTGTCTAAGCACAGGTATTTCAAACAGTGTAAGTAACTTATCATTTCAATTGAGACATATTTGTGAAATGAATAAAAGTAAATTTCCAGAGCTTCCAGTTTACAATCTCTGTGCTTTTTAAATTTTAACCTCTTCTTCCCATTCTCTCTTTTCCCATTCGAGTGAGAAAACCAGCTCTAAAAAAATAAAATAAAATGAAAACTGGCAGCACCTTTGCACAAAATGTGACTTTCTTTTTGTGAATACATCACCCTATTAGGTGATACTAGATTGAAATTTCCAGAAAAAATTTTTACCCTGAATTACACAGAGTCGTTTAGATCAAATGCACTTCAGAATGTGGAAAGGAAAATTAGGAAAGTTGTATGAATAAGAAGGACAACAAGTATCATTTGCCTATCATGTGTTTGTCAGACAGTTAGCAATTTAAATACATGAATTTGTTGAATCAACTATGGCTTTTATTATTCCTCACCACCATTTAAGTAATGGAGTCTCAGTGAAGTTTAGGACATTGTTTAAAGCCATAGAGTTGTTTGACACACTCATTAGAATAGCTTCTTAAATGTGCACTGAGCTTCTGCCCAGGATGACAGGAGGCTAATGAACATAAGGAAACCATTCCTAAACTGTGTGGTAAGGCAACACGGCACCATACATAACTCTGCAGAATATTTTACATTTTTGACAGAAACAAAAGGACGTTCAACATCAGGTGACACACAAAATACTAGTTTGAGTTCACAATTATAATATTTGATTATCCTACCTTCTTTTGTTGACGCCATATTTGTGAGGTTGAGTTTTGGTAGTTGCAATAATAAAAGGCAAGTACTGCATGAAAATCAGTGGAGAACTGTAAATCAGGATAGTCAATAGAATTTCAAGTCATTCGGCCCTGATGGGGGCACGCATCCCATAAGTAAATGTGGTTATTAAAGACAAAAAATAAAATTATGTTTTTTTTTTTCAAATGACATGTTTGTTATTTCACATGACTCTTAAATTGTTAAGACATAAATACTCGTTAAGGATTTTGGACTTACTATGTAGTTAAAAATAGAAACTCATAGATATTTTAAAAAGTAGCAACACATTCAGAGCTTCATGAACCAAAAACATTTTAGAATCTCTGGCATAGGGTTTGTACCAGTGTCCTCAGGTTGGAATCTCAATTTAATTGACCTGAAGCAAGTTAGAGAAACTCTGAGTTTTCTTACTTGAAAAATGTGGGCAAAATATCAAGTATCTCATGGGTAATTTTTTTCTTTCATAATTAAGTGTTTTAATGTAAATAAAGCATGTAAAAGAGAATAAGGTACATGCTAATACTAGCTGAATAGGTCTCATCTAGAAGCATAAAAACACACTGCATGAACCATGTTTTGGAACTTAAGGAACTGACAATTTTTAAGTAATGAATTAATAACTGCTCTAGTAGCTATATGTCAGAATGTATATGTTTCATTATAGTGTTTATAACGTCACATGAAAACACAGATTAAAATGTGCGCAGTTTATGTTTAAGGTAAGTAATACTTGTTTATTTTGTTTAGGAAAATCTCTGTTCATCAACCACACATGTAATTGAAAACACTGATTAATAAAACTATATGAAATTATTTAGACTATTGGCATGTAAATTTTAACCTACATTCTCATAAAATCTTCACAAATAACAGCTAATCTAAACAGTTTGGTAGTTTATGGATGCAAAGATAGACGTTGGTATACTTTTTCAAAATGTAAAAGAATGATCAATATCAAACGGGGTATACTGTTTGCCACTTTGTTGGAGAAAGGACTACGTTTACAGATTTCAAAAAGGCAATCTAGGGTATAGATGACATGTCTTACAATGGATTGAGCATACTGATGTTCTTTTTATTATTTTTATAAAAGTATACTTATGAATCTTATGTTTTATTAATTTTTAAAAATACTTTAAAAAAAGAGACATCATTTTAAAACATAGCCCTTGCTTTTGAAATGCAGAGAAGCTTAGCAGTATACCTACATTTTAAATTTATATTTACATTACATTTCTTTCTGATATCTCAGCACCTCTGCAACATAGGAATGTAAGCTGCAGAAAACTGTAAAAGAAATTGCATATCCTGCTGAAGTCTTACCTAGAGTGAACGTTAACTTTTTCTGTTAATAAGCATGAGAACATTTGCCTTTAAAAAATTACACTGACTAAATTACCATCATATTAAAATATGAAATGGTTTTAATTATGCTATTATACTTTCAAATTGTCTCATACACTGAGATTTCTAAGAAAGCAAAAACAGGGTAGAAACATTTTGGATGAAACAGTTATGACTATCCTAGTGACCCCTCACCAATTTTCCTACTGTGAAATTGCATGGCAGAGTTTCTGAATAACACCGCTAACTCGCTGAGAGTATTAAACCCAATAAGATTTTCTTTAAAGTATGAAAGTCAGGCTTTGGGGCATGAAATAAACTACAAACGTGGAAAATGGCAGAGTCTTTCTGATTAGTCTGCCAGGGCATCAGGCCTGACTGATACCTATCCTTGGCACCATCATTCTGAAATAAATTTGTCAGAAAATAAGCCTACTTGCCAAATTTCATAATGCTGGCAAGCTTATTTCTACTTTTTCAACAGTCATTTGTGATTAAAAGCTAGGATTAAAAAAAAGGTCGATAGAATGTATTAGTTCTAACACTAAGTCACTGAAAAATTGTGTGTATGTATATACACGTTATTTATGAAACATTGATATATCTGTATGAACTTACCTTTCTATATTAAGCTGTTGTGCATCATTAAATTATTTTTAATATTGTTATTTTATAAAATAAACAAAGTCCATTATTAATTTTTATTAGATAATTGGATTATTCTCCTCTTATTTTTATTTATTTATTTATTTTTGAGACATATTCTTGCTCTGTCACCTAGGCTGGAGTGCAGTGGTGCAATCCTGGCTCACTGAAACCTCTGCCTCCCAGGTTCAAGCGATTCTCCTGCCTCAGCCTCCCGAGTATTTTGGCCTACAGGCACACACCACCACATCCGGCTAATTTTTGTATGTTTAGTAGAGATGAGGTTTCACCAGGTTGGCCAGGCTGGTCTCAAACTCTTGACCTCAGGTGGTCTGCCCCTGTTGGCCTCTCAAAATGCTGGGATTACAGGTGTAAGCCACTGCACCCAGCCTCTTCTCTTATCTTTAAACCACATGTGTATTTCTTTGCTTTTCTTCTCTTGGTCCAATGTACCATCTTGAATATCCTTGGAGTCTATTATTTGTAATATTTTTAAAGGAAGCCTTTCCCCAAGTAACTTCTAGTTTAAAATATAATTGGCACAAAAAAGGACATCTTGCTGAGAAAAAAAAAAAAAACCTCATCTTGAAAGGCATGTGTTACTCAATTCATATAGCACTCCCTAAATTTGGAAAAAATAATAGAGCTATAAAATCTATTTAGTGGGTGCCAAAAGAGAGGGACAGGGAGGATGGCTGTTATTACAAAGGGGTAGCATAAAGAAGATCTTTGTGGTGATGAGGTAGTTCTATATTCTGATTGCTCTGTTGGTAAAATGAACTTATACATGTGATAGGTGACACGGAACTACATAAACATTTTAAACTAATGGCATGTTTCTGGTTTGACATTATTTTATCTGTATATGAATCGTAACCAATGGCGAAAATTATATAAAGCATGAATAAAACTTCTTTGCATGATCTTTACAATCTCCTATATGCCTAGAACTATTTCAAAATTAAATGGTTAAAAGTGATAAAAAGACTATCTTTTAAAAATAATTATAATACAGAACAATCTTAGTGCATAATTTGAACATAGGTTAAATAGGGTTTGAGAGAATTCTTTATTTTTTTTTGAAATTTCACAGGTGATGCAGCTATGAACATTGAGAATAAAGCCCCACCTAAAACTAACTCATTTAGTAAATTCATAAGTGCAAGTAGTAATTTAAGTGAAAAAATATAGTTTGACAATACCATAGCTGACACGTGCACAAATACATATGCATGAGTATATATAAAGTCTAAAATTATGTATATACCTATAAATCATTGTTAAAGCACATTCAAAAGAATAACAAAAATAAAATGAATTCGAACAGTGATAATTGTGGAAGTAGATATTGTGTAAAAAAATTTACTTGAAAGTGAAGCAAAATATAACTGTTCAGTAATGATGGGAAGAAGTCATAGTGTTCAGAAAAAGGTAGTTTAGACATTTTTAAGAAAACAACTCATGAGTATTTTTGTAGGTGGATGTTACAAGGAACTCTAGTGGGTGAAGAGCAAACAGTTCAGGGACTAAATCAAACTTCAAGAGAGTGCATGTTTTATGTAATCTGGTCCAAACTTTACCATATTTTAAAAAATACTTAAAATACTATTTTTATTTAAATTCCTTCAATGTATTTCAATGACAATTTATTTTAAAAAGCAAAAAACAGGCCAGGCACGATGGTTCACTCCTGTAATCCCAGCACTTTGGGAGGCCGAGGTGGGCAGATCACGAGCTCAGGAGTTCAAGACCAGCCTGACCAACATGGTGAAACCCCATTTCTACTAAAAATACAAAAATTAGCTGGGAGTGGTAGTGGGCACCTGTAATCCCAGCTACTCAGGAGGCTGAGGCAGGAGAATCGCTTGAACCCGGGAGGCGGAGGTTGCAGTGAGTGGAGATGGTGCCACTGCACTCCAGCCTGGGTGACTGAGTGAGACTCTGTCTCAAAAAAAAAAAGAGCAAATAACCACATTTATTAATTTTATTTAGAATTTTAATGGGGACAACAAATGAACAAATATTTCTAATTGCTGTTTTAAAATGTGTTTTGATTTTGTTACTATAGTTGGCACTCTATAATAAGTGAAATTTCCAAGTTTATTTCAAATAAAAGTCACACTACAGAAGATGAACTAAAATTAACCTTGTTTTACATGAAAATGTTGAATGGTATATTTCTAGTCTTTTTATTTGTTATATCCAACTGATGTAAAATATGTTTTGCTAATGAATCGTTATTTATTTCCAGAAACATGCCAATCATCTGTAAAGATAATTTACTTTCTTTTTATTAAGTATTGTGGATGATATGTTCTTGATTATCAAATATTTCAGTTATTTGAAATTTTTCATATATGTACACTAACATCTATAAAAGATCAGTATTGAACAATCAGCTTATTTTACTGATCGAAAATATGCCTCTGCAGATATCAAAGCTTTAGAATCATTATCATGTTCATCAATTATAATAAGTAGTAAAAAAGTCATTAATTGTGGTTAAAAGTATCATATAAGATTGATGAAATAATTTGAAATATGTACAAATATATTTAATATATTTATTTGATATGTTTTATTTATTTAATTAAAATACACACATATATATATATATGAGCCTTTTATTCACCAGATTTACTGCACATACATGTATACATGTCCAGAGGATGGAAAAGATTTTGGCATTAACTTACTTAATATATGGTGTGATTGATGACTTCGAATAAAAATGATTTCATGTGGTCCAGGCGCTGTGGCTCATGCCTGTAATCCCAGCACTTTGGGAGGCCAAGGCGGGCGGATCACGAGGTCAGGAGATCGAGACCATCCTGGCTAATATGGTGAAACCCCGTCTCCACTAAAAAATACAAAAAATTAGCCGGGCGTTGTGGCGTCTACCTGTAGTCCCAGCTACTCAGGAGGCCGAGGCAGAATGGCGTGAACCTGGGAGGCGGAGCTTGCAGTGAGCCAAGATCGCGCCACTGCACTCCAGCCTGGGCGACAGAGCGAGACTCCGTCTCAAAAAAATAAATTAATTAATAATAATACTAATAAAATGATTTCATGTGGAAGATAATTGAGTACATTTGTATATTAGTTATTTTATTTTGTTAGTGACCCTACAATGAGCCTCTTGGCAAGGTGAAATAGCGATATAGCTTTGGAGTCCCTAGTGAATGTAATTTAAAAACACATTCTGACTTTTGAGAAGTCAGGTGTCTAGCAGTAAAGAGGTCAATCAACAAATTTTTTACCAATTCAAAAAATAAAAATAAAATCTCCAGCAAATGACTTACTAACTAAAAGAAAACATGGAAAGAGAATATTATGACAGTGACTTAGATTAAAGTGGCACTTTTGGCTAAATAAATAACACTCTTAAGGCACTTCAAAATGATTCAGAAAACAATAGTGGAGAAAACAAATAAAGAGGAGTTTAGGAAATTCTGAGCCATTTCAAGAAGAGCCAAATATTTTGAGAGTAATGAGGAGACGGGATTAGATGTGAAAACTGAAAATAAAGTCCTAAACCCCATACCAACTGAGTAATTTTCTCTTGGCCAACGGGGCTCCAGAGAAACCTTAAAAACTGAGTTTCTGGCCGTGATAGGGAAGCTGGACAAGCCTCATGACTCATTATATCCCCTCCCTTTGGGAGTTGAAGGAACAGCAACTGACCAGATTTAATAAAAAAAAAATACATATATAATATATATGTCTGTGTGTGTGTGTATATATATATAACACATGCATATATATGTATATGTATATATATGTGCGTGTGTGTATATATATACACTATATGTACATATATGTGTGTGTATAAATATATATAATGAGATTAACAAAACAGAGTCTTTGTGAAAATAAGATATTAAATTATAAACAAAGACCTAAGGCCATTGATGACCTATGGTCAGGCCATCAATCTTGCTACATAGCATCCTTCTGTTAACATAAAACATTTCTTTCTACTGGCTTCAAGTTTAGACAGAAACTCCTTTGACTAACTGCAAATTAAAGAATGTTCAAATCCCCCTATGACTTGTAAGAACCCACTTCAAGGTATCCTGCTTTGTTGGGGCTAACCAGTGTTTATGTTTCGTACATTGGTTTATGCTTTCGCCTGTAAATTTTTCCTCCCTGAAATGTATAAATCTAAACTGTGATCTGACTGCCTCAGCTGCCCTTTCTCAGTACTCCTTGAGACTGCTTCCCTAGGCTACAGTCACTCATATTGGCCCAGAACAAAGCTCTTTAAAAAGCACTGTGCAGAGTTAGGTTTTTCCACTTGCAAATAGAAATAGCATCGTACTCTGGGAGTACACATCAATGGTAGAAGCTCATATGTAATGTCATAATATTCTTCAGATAACTACTAGGGTTTATCATTTCTACAACTTCACAGCCTTCGGGGCGACTTTCTGCATTTAAGGACATGCTCATGGGACTAAGACAGACATGTTTAATTAGAGATAACCCCAGAAGGGCAGCCTACCTTCTCGTGCTCAGGCCTAACATATGTGGTTAAAAATATCGAAAAAACAAACTGATTTTCATGCTAAAGACAAATATGACTCATATAAGGTGGGAAGTTTCAAGGAAATTTCTTGCTCATTATGTCAGAGAAAAGAGAAATTTGGTCATAGCTGCTCATGTTCAGCCCTAGAACGGTGACTAGAAAAAGTCAAGACAGGAAGTAGAAAAATTTGAAGAAACTTAGGTGTAATAGAAAAACAAGACCAAAATAATTATAACCCATGGGAATGCAAACAAATCTATAATTCATATATAACAATATAAAGTGATATAAGAATAAATTTACTGATGTGAAAACTCAGTATATAACCTTTGACAATATAACATGTTGAGATAAAACACAAGATTTCAAAGATATCAAATAAAACAATAAGGATAAAATAACTTGAATGTAAGCTAAAATAATATTCAGTTATAAATTGAATACATTGGCAGAAAAATAAATACACATTGTGAAAACAATCTTGAGATTATCGGAAATAATGTTAAAATAATTAAATAAAGAGGATAATGAAGATAGGCTACACAGATAATAAAATATACATATAACTGTGGTACTGCAAATAAAACAGAAAAAAAGACATAACATAATAGTGAAGTTTTCCAACTAATATTATCATTTGACTTGATCCCCAATTCCTGTCTTTCTAATGAAATGATTTGCAGTCCTGGAAAAACTGTGAAAACAAATGAAGTTTTATTTCTTCTTCTTCTTCTTCTTCTTCTTCTTATTATTATTATTATTATAATTATTATTATTATTTGAGATGGAATTTCACTCTATCGCCCAGACTGGAGTGCAATGACGTGATCTCTGCTCACCACAACCTCCGTCTCCTGGGCTCAACTGATTCTCCAGCCTCAGCCTCCTGAGTAGCTGGGATTACAGGCATGTGCCACCATGCCCAGCTAATTTTTGTATTTTTAGTAGAGATGGGGTTTCACCATGTTGGCCAGGCTGGTCTTGAACTCCTGACATCAAGTGATCTGCCTGCCTCAGCCTCCCAGAGTGCTGGGATTACAGGCGTGAACTATCGCGCCTGCCCACAAATCAAGTTTTATATACATATTTTGTCTTGGAAACAAGAAAGGAAAAATTTTGCATTGCACACACATTGGAGAAAACTCAAGCATCATGTAATAAAATTAATTAAAGCTAAGAGCCTGTCCTAATGGTTTTATGCAATTGGTATAAGCCTAAGAAGCTGAAGAACAGAGGTTTAAAGATTGAAAGAAAAAGAGTGATAGGTCCTCTTATCCTAACTAGCTAGAAAGTCAGAAATATAGTCATACTTTCAGAGAAGAAATACTTTTTTCTCACCCCTCCTAGGTTCTGTGATTGAAGACCTGTGAATTAAACTGGCAAAAGATAGATTAGAAAAACAAATACGTGTAATTATATTTGAACGAAAATTCACAGAAAAATATATGACTCATAGGAATAGTTAGATTTGTGGTTTATATACCATCTTAATAGGGCAAGAGGTTGGAGAGAATGGTACTTAAGAGAAAACAAATGACTATTTGGGAAGATAAATAAGCCCTTAGGAGAACAGAGGGGAGATAAGATAGTTCTGTGGCAATGTAGGTTTCAGGTGGTGTAGAAACTTCTCATCTCCAGTAACAGTCAATCTTGCCTGGTTGCTTTTGGGAGGAAATTTATCATAATTGTGTTCTTTTCATTCTTCTGGAAGGCTCTGCTTTTGGGCAGATGAGAGATTTCAGGAACTCAAATGCCTTCTATTTGAAATCATTCTTTATTTTTATTTTGGCCGCAGTGGTGTATTCTGGACCCCTTCAATATGTAACTGGGTCCACTGATGTGCTTTCCTATCAATACAAAACTTAACAGGAAAATATCCAGTCAAAGGACTGGGTAGCAGTAGGAAAGGCCCCCAGCAGTTTAACATTGTCTTATAGGACATTTTCAGCATTATAACGTAATTCCAAAATGCTTGTGGTGGTGCCAAATCACACTACTTAGTGAGGCCAGAATATACTAGGAAAGGGACACAGAAATCATTCTTGAATGTTGAAAGAATAAAAAAAAGTGCATGCATGCATGAGCTATGTATGTATATACATATATACAATTTTATATATTTATATGAACATAGTAGATTCTACCTATAGTCAACCAGAAAACTACAACACACAATTACTCTAGACCATGAGATTTGCATTGCTACAATAACAAAATAATTATTACTAAGAAATAATTTACTATAATATTAAAGAACAAAAGTATTTGTCTATGTTGAGAATCAAAGATGCAATAAACTGTTAAATTTACTCTCCAAAGTTGTTAATTTTTTTAAAAAATCAGTTTTCAGTATTTAAATAAAAATTCCAGGAAGAATGTATTGTGTATGGCAAGATATATACTTTAAGGCAAGGACCAGGCTGTCTTTGAGGGAAAAAAAGTGCATTTTCTAGCATTAAAAATATACCACTAATTTTTAAAATATCTCCACGTAGAAATGTACAGTAGATGAGAGATCGCTAAAGAGATATTTAATTAAATCATTCCTAATGCAACATACAGAAATAACAAGATAGGAAATAAGAAAGAGAAGTTCAAAGAGAATTTTGTGAAAAAAAGAATTATACATCATACCGTGAATCTAAAAGGACTCCTTGAAGGGTATAATTTAGAGACAGTAGGATAGAGGCAACAATTGAGAATTTTATATTCTCATTTTTCTCATATTTCTAGAAATCAAGAGAATGAGTGACAGATGTGGAGAACTGGGTTCTTGCACCATCAAGGATTTTAGGACAGGTGTACAGTTCTCAAAGACGCTGAATTACTCACCTCCAGTTATGAACAACATTTTCTCTTTTCCCCAGTACGATAGATAATATTATACACCAGTGTGTGTCATCTACATGAAAAGTTTGGGAAACACTCTACTAGCCCATAGGTACTGACACGCAGAGCATAAATACCTGCTGTAGCTACCCAATTTCTAGTCACTAGTGATGATGCACCAGTGAACCAAATGAACCATACACCTTCCCACCCATGTGAAGCTTTTATTTTATTTGTGTGGAGAAAGGAAATTAAGCAAATAACCAATAAACATGTAAAAATTCAGGCGACCCTAAATGCTACTAAGACAAAAAAGATCACATGTGAAGAATGCATTTTCCTGTTGGGGCCACAGCGGTATCTCCCATCTGCACACTCTTCTAGAACCTTGCCACTCTCTCCTCAAGAGGAAAATTTGAATCCCTCTCTGTTGAGTTTAAGCTGGTCATATTACTTATATACAAGAAAATGTGATGATATTTGGTATCTAATCAGCATGGGCTGCTATAAGCAAATACCACAGGCTTGAGCAACACAAAGGTATTAGTCACAGATCACACATCTGGAGGCTGGGAAGTCCAAGTTTAAGGTGCCAGCAGATCCAGTGTCCGGTGAGGCCCCACTTCCTGGTTGGCAATTGTCCATCTTTTCCTTGTATCCTCACATGGCTGAGAGCAGGGTGTGAAAGCTCTCTGTAGCCTTGTTTTATAAGAGCACTAATCCCATTCTGGTGGGCTCCACCCTGATGGCTGAAAAACTTCCCAAAGGCCACTCCTCCTAAAATAATCACATTGGGGACAGGATTTCAATGCTTGAAAGTTTGGAGTGAGGACACAAATATTCAGTCCATAATGTGTGACTTCTAGTCTGAGTCAGTAGAAGATATGCAGCTTCTTCCTGGCTCTCTTAGAACACTGGTTCTCAGATTACTCCTTCTTGGAACACTGCCTCTCAGAACCTGCCATAATGCGTGGGAGCTCAAGACACAAGGAAAGTCCACACTCTTTCCAAGACTGTGTTCAACAGTCTCAGCTGAATGTAGCTTTGGGTCATCCAGTACAAATGCCAGATGTGAATGAAGGCTCTGGGAATTAGAGCTCAAACCTTTCAAACCATCTTAGCTGAGGCTCCAGACAGTGTGAAATCACAGGAATCTCTTTCTAATGTGCCGGTTCTAACTCTTGAACCACAGAGAAAAAAGGTTGATTATTTTGACTACATAACTAAAAAACACATACAGTTTAAATGAGACTTAAAGCAACAAAAATAAAATAAATAGTACCTGAAAAATATATAAAATGCAAATAATCTGCATTATTATATCTTGTTATATAAGAGTTTCCAAAATTTAATAAAGAAAAAGGAAAGCAACATCAAAATGTACATAAGGAAAAATTCATAGATGATGGAACTCACATACACAATACCTATATGAACATATAAAATTGTACTTAAGTATGGTATTTTACTCAAGATAAAGTTTAATTATAAAAAACAAAATCAAACACAAATGACAGAACAATTCACACTTAAGAGGGAGTCTTCGGCTGCATCTCTAACATTAATTTTTTCACATTATTACTAGTAAATATGAGAACTTATTTACAAAGTAACAGTTTTGAGTTTTGTATGTATTGGTGCTGCTCCATTACTCTATTTTGTTGTTGTTGTTTTGATACACTTAATATTTAATTAAAAGAAATTGTGTTGCTCTATCCCATGCCATTGAACTTTGATTAGAGATCTTTACAGTCAGTGAAATTAGAAAGAATGTGTTATACTAGCAGTAAAACACAGGTTTTTTTTTTCTCCAGCAATATTCAATACCAAATAACAATGAAGCGGCATCCAAAATTTTCTTAGGAAAAAATGTAGCTTAAATGTACGCTACCATAATACATTAAAAAAAACATAAAATAACAAAGAACACTCTGGAACATAAAAAAAGATGAAAGATTTCAAAATCACAGCACCTATGAGTCGGATATGATTTGAATATGTGTACCCTTTAAATCTCATGTTGAAATGTGGTGTCCAGTGTTGGAGGTGGGGCCTGGTGAGAGGCCCCATCAGCATTCACATGTTTACTGCAGCAGTATTTACAATAACATGTATGGAATTAACCTAAGTGGTTATCAATTGATAACTGGATTAAAAAAAAAGTGGTGTGTATAAGTGTTATATATATATGCGTGTGTGTGTGTGTGTGTATATACACACATAGTATGTGTATATATATATAGTATGTGTATATGTATATACACATACTATATATATACACATAGTATGTGTATATATATACACATACTATGTGTATATATATACATAGTATATATACACATTATATATACATAGTGTATATATATACACATTATATATACATAGTGTATATATATACACATTATATATACATAGTATATATATATATACACATTATATATACATAGTATATATACACATTATATATACACATAGTGTATATATATACACATTATATATACATAGTATATATATATACACATTATATATACATAGTATATATACACATTATATATACACATAGTATATATATACACATTATATATACACATAGTATATATATACACATTATATATACACATAGTATATATATACACATTATATATATACAAATTATATATATAAACATAGTATATATATACACATTATATATATACACATAGTATATATATACATAGTATATATGAGACTAAAAGCAACAAAAAATAAAAGTATATACTATGTATGTAGTATATATATACTATGTATGTACATATATATACACACACACAGTATATAAATACTGTGGGTATACAGAGTATATATACTGTGCATATATTTATATACACACACACACACACATATATATATACACACAAACACACAATGGAATACAACTCAGCTATAAAAAGGGATAAAATGGTGTCATTTGCAGCAGCATGGATGGAACTGGAGGCCATTATCTTAAGTAAAATAACTCAGAAATAAAATCCAATAAAATCAAATACTACATTTTCTCACTTATAAGTGGGAGCTAAATAGTATATACACATGGGCATAGAGCGTGGAATAATAGACACTGGAGAATTGGAAGTGGGGAAAGTGGGAGGAGACTGAGGGATGAGAAATTAAGATGAGTGTCTTAATGCGTACACTATGTGTGTGACAGCAACACTGAAAGTCCAGACTTCACCACTACACAATATATCCATGTCAGAAAACTGCACTTACACTTATAAATCTACAAAAATTAAAAATTTAAATAAATTTAAAATTTTTAAAATAGCATGGGATATTCTTTAGAATAGACTTTTTGGTAAGCCATAAAACAAACCTCAATAATTTTTAAAGAGTACAAATACCTCATGCTTTCATAAAGATAGTAATAATAATAACCTATCACAATAGTTAATTAGATTTTAAGTTATAAAATTTATTGTTATTTATAGCCAATGCAGGCTTTCTAAAATTTTAATCTATTAACTCAAACTCCACTTTTAGAGATGGAGATCAGGAAGCTCATGTCATCTTATAAAAATATTTAGCACAAGTGAAAATTGTGAGAAAAAACTTTATCAACTTGAAACTGGGAATGAAGACAACCACAGTGGAAACTGCAGATCATTAAATTGATTGCTGTTCAGTATAATAACCGAGTGTTCGTTAACCTGCTTTTCCCCAGTGAATATAGGCACACTTTATAAGAAATCAACTAATGTCTAGCATGTGTGATTTTTTTTTCCTTTTCTAAGATGAAACCATGCTACAAAACTTTAGAGCATATATCTGAGTTACATTCACTTCTTCATATCAATAAAATCATTACCCATGAAATAAACTGTTTTGGTGAGTGATAGAAACTGCTGGAGACCATCTTGCTCTATTAGGATTTCTAAAGCCACTTTGCATTCATATGAATCATGGCTAATGTAGAGGGTGAAGAGTCTGGGGAGAAAAATGTTAAAATCAGGAAATATGAAGTTTTGGTTGCCAAGGTTTGTGGGGAATAAGTAGTTGGGATTTGGGGATAGGTTATTTCACAAAATATTGATTGTGAACAAAACCCATGAACAAAAGAATATTATACTTGACTGAACATTGAGAAGGTAATTTTTAGTGAAAGAGAATAAGAATATCACTAGGGATCTTGTATCCTTTTAACTCCATAATGAGTATGTAGTATATACAGAGTTTAAAGAGGGGCTTTTGTAAAAAAAAAAAAAAAAAAAAAAAAATTAAAAGTGTAACATTTTCTATTCTCTTCCAGGAATGCAACTGGTAGGATCTTTCCACAAAGATCAAGAGTGCAAGGAAGCAGGAGGCTCAAATTGTCCACAGTCAGGTATAATGAAGTTGTGCAGAAAAAAACAAAAATCAACACTTATTTGAACACTGGACTTATATGATTTAAAAAGTTCAAGGTTGATTTTACTGCCAATAGTAAGGTTTGATGTGTGTTTTTCTATGTGTAGCCTACTCTCTTCCCTTCATACATTTGAATTAAAGCAACCTTCTCCTTCTGTCTTCAATGACCTCCCCCGACCCATTTCCTGTGAATTCATTTCAGTCGTCTTTTAAAACTTAGCTCAAGGCTCGTTACCCAACTTACAACAATTTTCTTAGAAATAAGTGCACATCTATTCTTCATGTAAATTTTGGTATTCACAGTAGTTACTGTATGCCTGTTACTACAATAGAAATTGGCCTGAAATAGAGATTAAGTTTCCATAGATAAAAAATTAATCAAGAGATTCTGAATATAATCTTTCTTGGCTGTCAATAGTTTCAAATGCCTGTAGTTCACATTTCCCATTCTTAAGAAGGTTGAGACAACCAAATTAATTTTAGTAGCTTCCAGGCTTCCCAGATGACAGGTATGTCCTTGCGTGTATGAAAGTAAGCTACCTGTACGGGCCTAAGAACTTTATGTGGAGGGAAAGAGAGTAAGCATGGTATGATGGCAGAAGTTGAAGCAACCACCAAGATGATTATTTACCTTTACCTTGAAAAGGAAATCTTAACTAGAAAATATGAATAGAACAATACTTTCTCATCTAACTTGTATTATAACAAGAATTCAAGAAATATAAAAAATTATTTGCATATCAGTCACTGAGCACTGTGGAAGAGCAACACAGCATGTGCTTATAGCAGTTTAAAGAGCTTAGCATGTCATGTGCATGCATAAGCCTGTAAAAATATCTGGTGGCAGTTCAATGACAGCTTCACAGCAAGTGAAATATTTCCAAATACATGAAGGTTGAGAAGGCTTCAGGAAGTATGATTTTTCAATTTCAAATGAACAGACTATGTGTGAATTGTAGCTGGTGAAACAAAATAAAAATATCTTTTCACAGACAAGTGACAATGTTTCAAATCACAGATTTGCAGGATGAATGAATATAATCCTGAAAGAGTTTTATAAAAAGAAAAAAAAAGGAAAGAATGATATATGAGGCAAGTTTTGTATGAAAATAAATAACTAACATCGGGGTAAATATTAAGGAAACTAACATTGTGACATTGTGTGTGTGCATGTGTGTGTGTGGGTGTGGGTGTGTGTGTTTGATGAGTATCTGATGTATTAGGATTTCAAAAAAAACAGGACTAATAGTATATATGTGTAATATTGTCTATGTATATACATGCAACAAAACACCCTCTAGACTGTAAACTAGTTCAACCATTGTGGAAGTCAGTGTGGCGATTCCTCAGGGATCTAGAACTAGAAATACCATTTGACCCAGCCATCCTATTACTGGGTATATACCCAATGGATTATAAATCAGGCTGCTATAAAGACACATGCACACATATGTTTATTGCAGCACTATTCACAATAGCAAAGACTTGGAACCAACCCAAATGTCCAACAATGATAGACTGGATTAAGAAAATGTGGCACATATACACCACGGAATACTATATAGCCATAAAAAAGGATGAGTTCATGTCCTTTGTAGGGACATGGATGAAGCTGGAAGCCATCATTCTCAACAAACTATCGCAAGGACAAAAAACCAAACACCACATGTTCTCACTCATAGGTGGGAATTGAACAATGAGAACACTTGGACACAGGAAGGGGAACATCACACACCGGGGCCTGTTGTGGGGTGGGGGGAGGGGGGAGGGATAGCATTAGGAGATATACGTAATGTTAAATGATGAATTAATGGGTGCAGGACACCAACATGGCACATGTATATATGTGTAACAAACCTGCACATTGTGCACATGTACCCTGAAACTTAAAGTATAATAAAAAATTAAAAAAAGAGTACATATAAAGTACAGAACAAAATATAGATGATTATGTGTATACATGTATATGCACTCATACAAAGAGGGAGAGTGAACAAAAATGATAAAACAAATAGGATGAAATGTCAGCAATCAATAAACCTGGGTAAAAAAAAAAAGTATGTATGAGACTTCCCTGTGAGTATAACAAATAAATGATAATAACAATGACAAATAAAGGTATTTACATAGCAATAATAAACAAAGGATACAAATAAGGATAATTATAGAAATAATTACAGATCAATCTCAGAGGAAGAAGGGAAGGCTCAGCTAAGAAACTGATACATAAGCTTAGGCTTAAATTAGAAGGCAGCCAGAAGTAAAATATATATGTATACTTTATATATTTATATACTTTATATATATAGTTTTATATACTTATATATAATTTACATGTGTATACACACATATATTTAAGTATTATATAAAAGTAAAAAACATATGCAAAATCCTGAAGGTGAGAAATAAAAGTAATTTGAGGAGACCAAAATGGTTACAGGTGCTAAAGTTGAGAGTGGAGGGTGACCAGGCAAGAAAGGCAAACCACAGAAGACCCACATAGGTCCATTCTCCATCGATTGAAGAAATCAGACTTTATTTGCTGGGGTTAAAGTGCTCTTGAAGTTTTCAACAAAGGAATTACTTGGAAATTATTTTAGTTCAGTATCTGGAGATAATTAAAAGTGGGCAAGTCTAGATTAACAAGACAATTTAAGAGATTGTTGCAGTAGTTTAAGTGTGAAATGTATCACTGATTTGAACAAGTATACTGGCAGTTGGAATGCAGAGAACGAAATATACTAAAAACAGAATTTGGTATAGAGGTCACAAGAAAAGAAGTGAGGCAGCTGGGCATGGTGGTTCACGCCTGTAATCCCAGCACTTTGAGAGGCCGAGGCGGGCAGATCACCTGAGGTCAGGGGTTTGAAACCAGCCTGACCAACATGGTGAAACCCCATCTCTACTAAAAATATAAAATTAGCCAGGCGTGGTGGTGCATGCCTGTAATCCCAACTACTCGGAAGTCACTTGAACCCAGGAGGCAGAGGTTGCAGTGAGCTGAGATTGAGCCATTGCACTCCAGCCCGGGCAACAAGAGTGAAATTCCACCTAAAAAAAAAAAAAAAGAAAAAAGAAAAAAGAAATGACGCAAAGATATAGTTAGATACAGTTATTGTGTTAGGGTTTCAGGTACTCTGTTAACTACAAAGGGTTAGAATCAAAAACACACATTAAATGTGATTTTTGGATGGCAGTCTGCAATTCTTCCCACCATAAACATCCAAACATGACCCTGTATGACTGACTAAAAATGAAATATTCAGGATACAACACTAATTCTCAGTTATATGACACCTGTCTAAGAACCAAGTTTCTGAGTCACATATTGGACCAGTTGGTCACTCAAAAATATTCTATTTCAGAAGTCTTTAATTGAAACACCTGACTCTGATCTCATGCTTCCGTTTTGTGAACTTGCTGACTCAGTTCTTCCCATCACATCTGTTCCTAAACTTTACTGAAAATTCCTAATCCAGACCTATTTATTTATTTATTGATGTTTTTCCATCTTCTCTTGATAGCATGGACTCTGGAGCTAAACTGCCTGGGTTTATAATAAAACTGGTCTCCACTTACATTGCGGAGCAAATGTGTTAACTTCTCTGCACACTGTGTGCACAGTTTTTTTTTTTTTTGATATGCAAACAAGGATCACATTTGCACCTACTTACAAGGGTCCTAAGGTCCTGGCATGACGGCACTATGCAACTGAGACCTGGATGGATGGATGGATGGATGGATGAACAGAGGCATGAATGGATGGACAGGTAGGTAGATAGGTAGGTAGGTAGGTAGGTAGGTAGATAGATAGATAATTGTATTCTGTATTACCCTTCTTCAAATCTTCATTAGCTTTTTAATCTTGCTCAGAATGAAATGGAAGCCTTTTATTGTGAATTACCTATCTCTATAAAATACAAGTTTAGGTCCCTAAACATTATGTGATTTAGTCTACTCTTTGAGTAACACTCTTGCAAAGCACTGATTTAAGTGAATTATGATTAGTCCCTATCCTTCAGTAGATCACAACTCCTTTGATGAACTCAAACTACATTTTTACCTCAGAATCTGTAGAATCTCACATTTTCCTGGACAGATAGGTAATTAATAACTGTTTATTGCATAGATATGTTGCAAATTTACAGCTAAATCCATCCTCCATAGGCTAATCTTTATCTAGCTGACTAGTCCCAAGTAATTGCTGCATATGTTGTAATGGCTAAGCCTTTTAAGAATGCTTGGCATCTCGGTATGTCTCAGGATTAAACTTAATAATGTCAAGAGAACTTCCACAGTGGCTTATGTGTATGTGTCAATCTTCTCCATTAGATTGCAAATCCCTATATTGAAGAAACTGTATTTGATTCACTTCTCTATGCTTCACAGCATCTCAGCACAGTACCTTGCATTTAATCAGCCCTCAATACAAATTGTGTTAAACTGAGTTATACCTTCCTTCAAAATCCAGCTCAGATGTCACATCTAGACAAGACTTCCCTGAGTCTCTCATGCAGAACCAATCATTGCCTATGCTGTAGTAAGGATTGACTTTGACTGTTAGAAGGATTAATCTGCCCTTTAAATATGAAAATTTCTCACCTACACACAGAGTGGATATGGGACTAAACAGAACAAACTATAGTTCTCTTCTCCTGGGCATAGGGATACATTGATTTGTCCAGAACAGGCATTTTACCAAAGCCAGGTCTCTTGGAGACATTTGCAAGAAGGCAAAAACAAAAATAAACAATAAAAAATTCAATAATTCAATACACAAATTGCAAGAGACAGAAACAGTATTCGATTCCCTAATGTTTCTGTTTCTTGCAATTGTGCCTTTATTTCTGTTCACTGTTCAGAATAAATTAAATTTATTCAAATGTAGCTTTTGTAACTTGCAACCAATAAATTATAGAACAGTGCACTTTGTCTTATTGATAAACCAATAGTGTTGTCTATCTTTCCTTTCTTCTTTTTCCTGCCATCTCCCCTGTTTTCCTCCTTCCTTCCCTCCCTCCAAACTGGTTTTCCTGTCTTCATCCACCAATCTCTTTTTTTCTTAGTTACCCCTTTTGTGTGCTTCATCTTTCTTGAAATGTTAACAAAATAAAATTTGTTCCTATTTATTCTACCTCAAAATAATTTCCCCAAACTACTCATATACGTCTCTCTCCAATTCTTCCATTCTGGATGAAAGGAAATCCTGAGTTAGAGAGATGGATAGATGGATGGATGGATGGATGGATGGATGGATGGATGGATAGCAAGACAGATGAATGGATGGATGAGTGGACAGATAGGTAGTTGATAGATAGATAGATAGATAGATAGATAGATAGATAGATAGATAATTGTGTTCTGCATCACTCTTTTTAAAATCTTCATTAGATTTTTAATATTGCTCAGAATGAAATTGAACCCTTTTATTGTGAAGTACCTATCTCTATAACATAAAGGGTTAGTTCCTGCCTAACTTTCAAATCTCATCTACTTTCTGCCACCCTTTGTTTAAAGTGATTCAAGCACACTGGTCTTCTCTTGTCCCATAAGCCCACCAAGTTCTCCTCTGCCATGAAAATTGTCACTCTTTTTGATATGGTTTGGCTGTGTCCCTACCCAAATCTTGTCTTGAACTGTAGTTCTCATAATCCCCACATGTCATGGGAGGAACCCAATGGGAAGCAATTGAATCGTGGGGGTGGTTACTGCCATGCTGTTCTCGTGGTAGTGAGTGAGTTCTCATGACATCTGATAGCTTTTTAAGGGGCTCTCCACCCGGCCACCTTCACTCTGCACTTCTCCTTTCTGCCACCATGTGAAGAGGGACATGTGTGCTTCCTCTTCCACCATGATTGAAAGTTTTCTGAGGCCTCCTCAGCCATGCTGAACTGTGAGCAAATTAAACCTCTTTTCTTTATAGATTACCCAGTCTCAGGTGTGTCTTTATTAGTAGTGTGAGAATGCACTAATACACTTTCTCTATGACATGCTTCTCATAGCTAGCTTACTCTCTCATTCACCTTAAACCACATCTTCTGAAATATCTATTCCCTAAACTCCCAACATGAAGGACTTCTTCCACTCTTCCTATGACATCCACTTGTTTACATTTTCATCGTGGCCCTTATCTCAATGTGTTGTGTATTGATTTGCTTATTTTCTGTCTTCCTTAACACTTTGTAGGGTAGAAATCCTGATTGTCTTGTTCACCTATAATTGTAAGACAAAGCAAAATGATAGGGTTATAACAGGTCTTCAATAAATATTTGTTGAATAGGTTTCCAAAGGGAAACAAAAACTAAAGGTGAAAGATTAAGATTTGCACTGAAATTATAGTAAAGGTTTATAAGGAATTTCAAAACAAGTATTATTTTCTGCAAGCATGCTTCCTTTAGATTTATCTAGCTCTCTAAAATTGTTATTATAGAAATACATGTGCTCTTTTTAAAAATATATATTTTTTTAATTTTTGAAGGTACACAGTAGGTGTGTATCTTTGCAGGTTGCATGAGACATTTTGATACACGCATGAAATGCATAGTAATCATATTATGGTCAATGGGGTATTGATATGTTTTGACTCTGTGTCCCCACCCAAATCTCATCTTGAATTGTACTCCCATAATTCCCACGTGTTGTGGGAGGGACCTGGTGGGAGATAATTGAATCATGGGGGCAGTTTCTCTCTTACTGTTCTCATGGTAGTGAATAAGTCTCACAAGACCTGATGATTTGATAAGGGGAAACCCATTTCACTTGGCTCTCGTTCTTTCTCTTTACCTGTTGCCATCCACGTAAGATGTGACTTGCTCTTCCTTGCCTTCTGCCATGATTGTGAGGCTTCCCCAGCCATGCAGAAATGTAAGTCCAATTAAACCTATGTCTTTTGTAAATTGCCCAGTCTCAGGTATGTTTTTATTTTTTTTTGACCTCAGAAAGGTAGGCCTCTCACTTTAAGTTATATATATACGTGTATATATATACATATATATGTGTGTATATATATATACTTTAAGTTCTAGGGTACATGTGCACAATACGCAGGTTTGATACATAGGTATTCATGTGCCATGGTGGTTTGCCGCACTCATCAACTCGTCATTTACATTAGGTATTTCTCCTAACGCTATCCCTCCCCCAACCCCCCCACCTCCCAACAGGAACCAGTGTGTGATGCTCCTCACCCTGTGTCCAAGTGTTCTTATTGTTCAGTTCCCACCTATGAGTTAGAATATGTGGTGTTTGGTTTTCTGTCTTTGTGATAGCTTGCTGAGAGTGATGGTTTCCAGCTTCATCCATGTCCCTGCAAAGGACATGAACTCATCCTTTTTTATGGCTGCATAGTATTCCGTGGTGTATATGTGCCACATTTTCTTAATCCAGTCTATCATTGATGGACATTTGGGTTGGTTCCAAGTCTTTGCTATTGTGAATAGTGCTGCAATAAACATATGTGTGCATGTGTCTTTATAGCAACATGATTTATAATCCTTTGGGTATATACACCCAGTAATGGGATGGCTGGGTCAAATGGTATTTCTAGTTCTAGATCCTTGAGGACTCGCCACACTGTCTTCCACAATGGTTGAACTAGTTTACACTCCAACCAACAGTGTAAAAGTGTTCCTATTTCTCCACATCCTCTCCAGCATCTGTTGTTTCCTGACTTTTTAATGATCGCCATTCTAACTGGTGTGAGATGGTATCTCATTGTGGTTTTGATTTGCATTTCTCTGATGATCAATGATGACGAGCATTTTTTATGTGTCTATTGGCTGCATAAATGTCTTCTTTTGAGAAGTGTCTGTTTGTATCCTTTGCCCACTTTTTGATGGGGTAGTTTGTTTTCTTCTTGTAAATTTATTTCAGTTCTTTGTAGATTCTAGATATTAGCCCTTTGTCAGATGGGTAGATTGCAAAAATTTTCTCCCATTCTGTAGGTTGCTGGTTCACTCAGATGGTAGTTTCTTTTGCCGTGCAGAAGCTCTTTAGTTTAATTAGATCCCATTTGTCTATTTTGCCTTTTGTTGCCATGGCTTTTGGTGTTTTAGTCATGAAGTCCTTGCCCATGCCTATGTCCTCAATGGTATTGCCTAGGTTTTCTTCTAGGGTTTTTATGGTTTTAGATCTAATATTTAAGTCTTTAATCCATCTTGAATTAATTTTTGTATAAGATGTAAGGAAAGGATCCAGTTTCAGCTTTGTACACATGGTTAGCCGGTTTTCCCAGCACCATTTATTAAATAGGGAATCCTTTCCCCATTTCTTATTTTTGTCAGGTTTGTCAAAGATTAGATGGTTGTAGACGTATGATGTTATTTCTGAGGCCTCTTTTCTGCTCCATTGGTCTATATGTCTGTTTTGGTACCAGTACTATGCTGTTTTGGTTACTGTAGCCTTGTAGTATAGTTTGAAGTCAGGTAGCATGATGCCTCCAGCTTTGTTCCTTTTGCTTAGGATTGTCTTGGCAATGCGGGCTCTTTTTTAGTTCCATATGAACTTTAAAGTAGTTTTTTCCAATTCTGTGAAGAAAGTTATTGGTAGCTTGATGGGGATGGCATTGAATCTATAAATTACCTTGGGAAGTATGGCCATTTTCATGATATTGATTCTTCCTATCCCTGAGCATGGAATATTCTGCCATTTGTTTGTGTCCTCTTTTATTTTGTTGAGCAGTTGTTTGTAGTTCTCCTTGAAGAGGTCCTTCATATCCCTTGTAAGTTGGATTCCTAGGTATTTTATTTTCTTTGAAGCAATTGTGAATGGGAGTTCACTTGTGATTTGGCTCTCTGTTTGTCTGTTATTGGTGTATAGGAATGTTTGTGATTTTTGCAAAATGATTTTGTATCCTGAGACTTTGCTGAAGTTGCTTATCAGCTTAAGTAGATTTTGGGCTGAGATGATGGGATTTTCTAAATATACAGTCATGTCATCTG
Source organism: Homo sapiens (assembly GCF_000001405.40). Classification (NCBI taxonomy): domain Eukaryota; kingdom Metazoa; phylum Chordata; class Mammalia; order Primates; family Hominidae; genus Homo; species Homo sapiens. The sequence continues at coordinate 274,236 of NW_025791779.1, forward strand.
CAATCAGGGACAATTTGACTTCCTCTTTTCCTAATTGAATACCCTTTATTTTTTTCTCTTGCCTTATTGCCCTGGCCAGAACTTCCAACACTATGTTGAATAGGAGTCGTGAGAGAGGACAACCTTGTCTTGTGCCAGTTTTCAAAGGGAATGCTTCCAGTTTTTGCCCATTCAGTGTGATATTGGCTATGGGTTTGTCATAAATAGCTCTTATTATTTTGAGATACATTCCATCAACATTTAGTTTGTTGAGAGTTTTTAGCATGAAGCGCTGTTGAATTTTGTCGAAGGCCTTGTCTGCATCTATTGAGATAATCATGTGGTTTCTGTCATTGATTCTGTTTGTGTGATGGATTACATTTATTAATTTGTGTATGTTGAACCAGCCTTGTATTCTATGGATGAAGCTGACTTGATCCGTTTCTTCTAGATTTTCTAGTTTATTTGCATAGAAGTGTTTATAGTATTCTCTGTCAGTAGTTTGTATTTCTGTGGGATCAGTGGTGATATCCCCTTTATCATTTTTTATTGAGTCTATTTGATTCTTCTCTGTTTTCTTGTTTATTAGTCTAGCTAGTGGTCTATCTATTTTGTTGATCTTTTAAAAAACCAGCTCCTGGATTCATTGATTTTTTGAAGGGTTTTTGTGTCTCTATCCCCTTCAGTTCTGCTCTGATCTTAGTTATTTTTTGCCTTCTGCTTGCTTTTGAATTGTTTGCCCTTGCTTCTCTAGTTCTTTTAATTGTGATGTTAGGGTGTCAATTTAGATCTTTCCTGCTTTTTCTTGTGGGCATTTAGTGCTATAAATTTACTTCTACATACTGCTTTAATTGTGTCCCAGAGATCCTGGTACGTTGCATCTTTGTTCTCATTGGTTTCAAAGAACATCTTTATTTCTGCCTTAGTTTCTTTATTTGCCCAGTAGTCATTCAGGAGCAGGTTGCTCAGTTTCCATGTAGTAGTGTGGTTTTAAGTGAGTTTCTTAATCCTGAATTCTAATTTGATTGCACTGTGGTCTGAGAGATAGTTTGTTGTGATTTCTGTTCTCTTCCATTTGTTGAGGAGTGCTTCACTTCCAATTATGTGGTCAATGTTAGAATAAGTGCAATGTGGCACTGAGAAGAATGTATATTCTGTTGATTTCTGTTCTTTTACATATGCTGAGGAGTGTTTTACTTCCAATTTTGTGGTCAATTTTAGCATAAGTGTGAGGTAGTGCTGAGAAGAATGTATATTCTGTTGATTTGGGGTGGAGAGTTCTGTAAATGTCTATTAGGTCTGCTCAGTGCAGAGCTGAGTTCAAGTCATGGATATCCTTGTTAACCGTCTGTCTCATTGATCTGTCTAATATTGACAGTGGGGTGTTAAAGTCTCCCATTATTATTGTGTGGGAGTCTAAGTCTCTTTGTAGGTCTCTAAGAACTTGCTTTATGAATCTGGGTGCTCCTGTATTGGGTGCATATATATTTAGGATAGTCAGCTCTTCTTGTTGCATTGATCCTTTTACCATTATGCAATGGCCTTCTTTGTCTCTTTTAATTTTTTTTTTTTTTTTTTTTACCTTTTTCACTTTTTAGTATTCTAAAAATCTGGTATAATTTCTCCCGATCTTGAATGGAACTAAGTTGAAAAATACTCTTCAGGATATTATCCAGGAGAACTTCCCCAACATAGCAAGGCAGGCCAACATTCAAATTCAGGAAATACAGAGAATGCCACAAAGATACTCCTCAAGGAGAGCAACCCCAAGACACATAATTGTCAGATGCACCAAGGTTGAAATGAAGGGAAAAATGTTAAGGCAGCCAGAGAGAAAGGTTGGGTTGCCTACAAAGGGAAGCCAATCAGACTAACAGTGGATCTCTCAGCAGAAACTCTACAAGCCAGAAGAGAGTGGGGGCCAATCTTCAACATTCTTAAAGAAAATAATTTTCAGCCCAGAATTTCATATCCAGCCAAACCAAGCTTCATAAGTGAAGGAGAAATAAAATCCTTTACAGACAAGCAAATGTTAAGGATTTTGTCACCACCAGGCCTGCCTTACAAGAGCTCCTGAAGGAAGCACTAAACATGGAAAGAATCAACCAGTACCAGCCACTGCAATAACATGCCAAATTGTAAAGACCATCAAGGCTATGAAGAAACTGCATCGATTTAATGGGCAAAATAACCAGCTAACATCATAATGACATGATCAAATTCATGTGTAACAATATTAACCTTAAATGTAAATGGGCTAAATGCCCCATATAAAAGACACAGACTGGCAAATTGGATAAAGAATCAAGACCCATCAGTGTGCTGTGTTCAGGAGACCAATCTCATGTGCAGAGACACACATAGGCTCAAAATAAAGGGATGGAGAAAGATCTACCAAGCAAATGGATAGAAAAAAAAAAAAAAAGCAGGGGTTGCAATCCTAGTCTCTAATAAAATGGACTTTAAACCAACAAAGATTAAAAGAGACAAATAAGGCCATTACATAGTGGTAAAGGTATCAATTCAACAAGAAGAGCTAACTATCCTAAATATATATGTACCCAATACAGGAGTACTCAGATTCATAAGGTATGTCTTTATCAGCAACATGAACATGGACTAACACAGTAAATTGGTACCAGTAGAGTAGGGCATTGCTGAAAATATAACTGAAAATATAGAAGTGACTTTGGAACTGGGTAACAAGCAGAGGCTGGAACAGTTTGTGGGCTCAGAAGACAGAAAAACGTGGGAAAGTTTGGAACTTCCTAGAGACTTGTTGAATGGCTTTTGCCCAAAATGCTGATGGCAATATGGATAATAAGGTCCAGGGTAAAGTGGGCTCAGATGGAGATGAGAAACTTGTTGGGAACTGGAAGAAAAGGTGACTCTCATTATGTTTTAGCAAAGATACTGGCAGCATTTTGCCCCTGCCCTGGAGATTTGTGGAACTTTGAACTTGAGAGAGATGATTTAGGGTATCTGACAGAAGAAATTTCTCAGCAGCAAAGCATTCAAGAGGTGACTTGGGAGCTGTTAAAGGCATTCAATTTTATAAGGGAAGCAGAGTATAAAAGTTTGGAAAATTTGCAGCCTGACAATGTGATAGAAAAGAAAATCTCTTTTTTTTTTTTTTTTTTTTTTTTGAGGACAAACTCAAGCCAAGCCAGCTGCAGAAATTTGCATAAGTAATGATGAGCCAAATGTTAATCCCAAAGACAAGGGGTAAATGTCTACAGGGCATGTCAGAGGTCTTTGCAGCAGCCCCTCCCATTACGTTTCCTACAGGCCTAGTAGGAAAAAATGGTTTCGTGGGCCAGGCCCAAGTTCCCCGTGCTGCATGTAGCCTAGGGACTTGGTGCCCTGCCTCCCAGTTGCTCCACCCCTTGACTAAAAGGGGGCAAGGTACAGTTCAGGCTGTGGCTTCAGAGGGTACAAGCCCCAAGGCTTGGAAGTTTCCACGTGGTTTTGAGCCTGTTGGGGCACAGAAGTCAAGAATTGAGGTTAGGAAATCTCTGCCTAGATTTCAGAGGATGTATGGAAACACCTGGATATCCAAGCAGAAGTTTGCTACAGGGGCAGGGCTCTCATAGAGAACCTCTGCTAGGGCATTATGGAAGGGAAATGTGGGGTCACAGCCCTCACACAGAGTCTCTACTTGGGCAACAACTAGTGGAACTGTGAGAAGAGGGCCAGTATTCTCCAGACCCCAGAATGGTAGATCCACTGACAGCTTGCACCATGAGCCTGGAAAAGCCAGACATTCAACACCAGCACATGAAAGCAGCTGGGAGGGAGGCTACACCCTGCAGAGCCACAGGGGCAGAGCCGTCCAAGACCAGAGAACCCACTTCTTGCATCAGCATGACCCAGATGTGAGACATGGAGTCAACAGAGATCATTTCAGAGCTTAAATATTTGACTGCCCTGCTGGATTTTGGACTTGCCTGGGGCCTATAGCCTCTTTGTTTTGGCCAATTTCTTCCATTTGAAATGGCTATATTTACCCAGTACCTGTACCTCCATTGTATCTAAGAAGTAATTAAGTTGCTTGTGATTTTACAGGCTCATAGGTGGAAGGGACTTGTCTCAGATAAGACATTGGACTATGGACTTTTGAGTTAATGCTGAAATGAGTTAAGACTTTGGGGGACTGGTTTTGAAATGTGAAGACATAAGTTTTGGCAGAGGTCAGGGGTGGAATGATGGTTTGGCTCTATATCCCAACCCAGATCTCATCTTGAATTGTATTCCCATAATTCCCATGTGTTGTGGGAGAGACCCAGTGGGAGATAATTGAATCATGGGGGCAGTTTCTCCCATACTCTCATGGTAGTGAATACGTCTCATGAGATCTGATGGTTTGAAAAGGGGAAACCCATTTCATTTGGCTCTCGTTCTGTCTCTTTGACTCTTCCCAACCATGTAAGACGTGACTTTCTCTTCCTTGCCTTAAGCCATGATTGTGAGGCTTCCCCAGCCAGGTGCAACTGTAAGTCCAATTAAACTTCTGTCTTTTGTAAATTGTCCAGTGTTGGGTAGTAGTTTCCCTTTTAGCCCACGGTGTGTCTGGAAAGGTTGTTTGGGCCCTAGGTCCTGGAAGGGGGTTCTCATGACTCTGACTGGTGCTCTACCAAGTGCACAGACTCTGTGCCATGAGTCACTGCCAGGGAATGGGTGAGTGGTAACATCAGCAATTAAAGACAGTCTTTCCTTCCCTCTTATTGCCTCTTATGTGGTGGGAAGTTACAACCAGATACTGTAACTGCTCACCTGATTTTTGGTTCTTATGAAGGTGTTTTTTGTGTGTAGATAATTGTTAAATTAATGTCCTTGCAGGGGCAATGATTTTTGGAGCCTTCTATTTGGTTATCCTGCTTTGCCCCTCAACACATGTTTTCTTATATTCCCACGCCAACTCCACTCCTTTCTTCTGTACTCATTTATATACAAGCTGTCTAAAATAACATCAGGGAATTATACATCATTTGAACATAATGCCTTGCTGTGGGTTGTGCTGAATGCTCTGAGTAGCCTAGAAAACCCACAACTGACATTTCTAAATCCTGCTGTGTGATATTACTATATAAGTAATTTACCTAATTAGTAAATTTAGATTTACTCCACATTCATATAGGCACAGTTTCTACCTGTGGTTCAAAAGATAAAATCTTTGGTAAAAAAAGAAACATTATTTTATATTATTACTGTTAACACATTAGCCTTTATTACTAAACAAATATAAAATCAAGAAAAACTCACATCTTTGAAGACTAAAAACGAAGTTAAAATCACCGACTTGAAACAGAGAACTAAGCAGGGCTATTTTGTCTTTCTAGGCTGTGTGATCTTGAGAACATTACTAAAATTTCCAGGTCTCTCTGTTTTCATTTCTATAGTGAGAATAATAATACTATCGATGTCATAAGATGTTTATAAGAATTACGTATTTGGAGGTAGACTTGTTAGTACTAAATCTATAATTGTTTGGACTCTCATTATGAATTGTTTGTAACCGCCCCCCAGAATTCACGTGTTGAAGTCTTGACTCTTGATAGTGTTGAGAGGTGGGCCTCTTGGGATGTAATTAGTTTTAGATGATGTCATGATGGTGGAGGCTCCATTATGGGATTTATTTCCTTATGAGAAAATACTGGAGCTTTTGCTCTTTGCTATGATTAGAGAGAGAAGGAAGCCATCTGCAAGCCAAGAAGAGAGCTTTGACTAAGAACTGAATCTGTCATACCTTGACTTTGGATTTTCCAGCCTCTGGAACTATGAGAAATAAATGTCTTCTGTTTAAGCCACTGAGTCTTTGCGTTTTCTTATGGCAGCCTAAGCTAGTTAAGATCACCTTTGTAGGATTTCTGATCACATTTCTAATAGTCAGTACCATATCTTAGCATGTGGGATATCCCCGACTAGCTGAAACCTACATTGTGTGCTCTCTTACAGGTGAGCCAGAAGTGACTAGAAAATTATGTCCCTGCAGAGAATATCCCTTCAGCAATGCCTGACAAGTATGGGATTATTAATATTTTGATTCCCATTCCTCTTGGCCATGATATATCAAAGGCATGTGTTCTCTGTCATGTCCCAGCATGGTCTTGCAGGATTAGTTCAAGGTAGCCAGCTGTCCAATATATCCTCTTGGCTTGCATTACCTTCCCTGTACTACTGCCACACTCACTTGCCAGTGTGTATTGATCCCAACAAATAAACTAAATCTTAGTTTCTGCTCCTAGGAAGAAGTGGACCCAATAAACAACTAAAGGTATGAAAAGATTACAATGCAGCAATCTCTTGTAACAGCCCACCACCACCACCACCACCACCCCCACCACCCCCCCAGCACATCCATCCAATTAAAATATTGATTTTCTTATTATTAATTCTGTGACTTTAGGAAAATCATCAAATGTCACTGAGTTGTTAACTTACCTTTAAACCAGAACTATTAATGTTAAAAACTACCATGGTTCAATCTTCAGAGAAAAAACACATACATAAAAATTGAGCAAGAAATGCTTGAGGTGATAGACACCTCATTTACTTTGATGTGATTATTATGCTTTGAATGCCTGCATCAAAATATCTCATGTACCCCATAAATATATACACCTTCTATGTACCCACATATGAATCTCTACTTGATGTTTCATAAAAATGTTACAATAAAGAAAAGAAATCTAAGTGTTCAAGTGACAGCATCAATAAAAATGAGAAAAACTTTCAGAATGTACATTAAATGTGTATTTGCTTAGGAACACCTGTTGCTGATTTTCTGTCATTGCCCTCCTCATTTTAATCAAGTGTCACCAACTGCGGAATCACACCTGCAGAATAACAGGTGCAGCAGGGAGAACACTAAACTCGAAACTGTCAAATAGAAGTTTTAAACCTGGAACAGGAAACTCCCTCCATGCTCCCATCTATGTGTGAACATCTAGCTGTCTAGATTTGGGGAATGATTGCTTCTAGACTACTTTTTCTAACTTCATGGAATGACCTGTTTGTTTTTATCTTTCTCTTTATTAAAGTATGTCTTATTTGGCAACTCTCTGTTCAACATCTGATGATGTTATAGAACATTAATATGTGAAGACTTCTGAATAATCTAATGGCTGCTTGTCCATGCTAATACTAACCTAAACATTAATTGCTGGCACTATTCATAGCTTTGTTAATGATTTCACATTATTTTGACCTTGATTCTTGTTGTAAAGCTGACTGAAGCAAGTTTACCATGCACCAAATACTCTACGACTTGCACAAGTCAGGTGAGAGAACACTCATACAACATATTAAGTGGAGCAAACTTATTACTGACCAATAAACAACAAAGGACAATAGAAGTGTAGAATTCATAACAAGCCACTCCCTCAAGGCTCAGGAAAGCTTTCTAGGAAAGACAGAATCTCATCTACATGTGCCCAACCTCATATTGCAGCTGAGGGACCCCACAAACACTCTAACCTAAGTTTTATACTCTGGAGGAAACTAGGGTCATGGAGCTAACACATTGTGGGGCACCCTGTTCTAGGAGAGATGGGAACAGAGCCCAGCTATTCCAGACAGTTTCTCCTTATCTCAGAATAATGCTTTCCCAGCACATTCTGCAGTTTTTCTGAGAAATGCAGGCAAGAAAGTGGGGGAAGAGCTGGCTTAGGCAAACTGGCCAGGGACCTGTCTTGCACATGCTGCAAATGAACTTGTTCCCTAAATAATCTTGTATTATTTATCAGTTGACTATGGTACCATACTATTTTAAAAGTAGAGTTATTATAAACCATGAAACACAAAAATCAAACACTCTGAATGTGAATTCAATTATCTGATCATTTCTTTATGATTGATTAACAGGACAATAATTGTCTAATCACTAGAATTTCTTCTCTTTTCTGCCTAACAATTTATTCACAAATTTAATATGCATGAGTTGCCGATTTTGTATGAAACAAAGATAGATACAAGATCACAATTAACTTTTATCATAACAGTACACAAACAATCAGCCACAAATTTGTCTTAATTTTTTCTCTATTTCAAGAATGAATGCTTATTCATAATTATAGAATGTATTAATTCAGTTGGGATAAAGTTTTACTGGAAATTATAGTATTTATATTTGCCTTTATATATCCTTGCAAATTTCTCCTCTTTGTAAAAAACTCCAATCCCAAGAAATGCTTTTTAATTTTTAAAATTGTAATTAATATGTTAAAATAAAAAGAAATCCGGAACTTTGACAGTAGACTGAAATAGGAAAGGGTAAGAATACAAGAACCAGGTCTAGCTATGTTTGTGAAAAATATTTAACTGTAAAATTTCAATTTTATACAGTTCAAACTAAACATACAGGTAATGTTCAGTGAAGGGATACATTGATGAAGAGGGGAATAATTGTTTGTATATAGGAAATGTCCAGATTAAAAAATCCCGTGGGCACAACAGAGTGCTTATTAGGGAATTGCTAAGTGATATGTTGTGCCCTATGATATAGATGAACTTTTCCCTAATACAAATTTAGACATCTAATTTACAGAACTTGAATTAATTAATGATTTTCTTTTGTAAGGCAATGAGTAAAAATTTTAGACATCTCAGTCAGGATAAAGGTTTTTAGCAAAGTTCTTGTGTCAGATAAGATAATAATAACATCTTTAATGAAAAACTTTCAGCATTTTAAAGACCTATTATAAGAGAGGATTTCTTTTTTCACTTGTGTTCAAGTAGACAAGGAACTTGTGTTCAAGTAGACAAAGAAACTGGTTTTGGTTTTGGTAATCTTTACCATATTACATTGCTTCCTAGATTGTATTTGGTGACAATTATAAGTTGATTGCAGTAGGTTCTCAGCCACCATCACAATCATGATATATAATCTCAATCACTTCAAAAATATTCCCTTGTGCTCTTTGTAGTCAGCCTCTTCTCCCACCCCCAACTCCTGGCAAACATTGATGAGTTCTTTGTATAGTTTTCTTTTGCAAGAACATCTTAGAAATATGATCATACAATATTTAGGATTTTTTTTTGTCTGGCTCCTTTTACTTAGTCTAATGCGTTTGAGATTTATCCTTGTTTTGTGTGCCCCAGGAGTTACTTTTTTTTGTATTACTGAGTGGTATTATGTTGCATAGATGAATCACGGTCTGGTTATCCATATACGAGTTGAAGGAATTGGCAATTACGAATAAAGCTATTATAAACATTCATGCACAAATTTTTGCATGAATTTGAGTAAAGAAAAAGGATCGAGGTTACTGGTTAATATGGTAAGTACATGTTTAGCTTCATAAGAAACTGCCAAATGGTTTTACATAATGACATAGTTTTTACAGGTGATTATTTTAAAGTAAAAGAATAAAACAGTGGAGAATATATTATTTCAATGTAAAGTTTGCTATTTCTTAAATCAACTTTGTTAAATAGGCAAATCATATTATTTTCCCCCATATTCCCATTTAGTTTCTATGCTGATATCTAATATTGGGATATAGCTTTATTTTAAAAACTATTGAATTCATTTGTCTTTTTTATTTTTTTGAACTTTTAAGATTTTTTTTAGTTTCAGTTTTTCTCTTTTAAAAAATACTGTGTAAATAGAGTTGGACCTCTGTATCTGTGAGTTTCACATCCCTGGATTTTACATCTGTAGATTCAAACAACCATAGTTCTAAAATATTCGGAAAAAAAGCCATAAAAATAAAAATATAACAATAATAAGTAATACAAATAAAGCAGAATACAGTGTATCAACTATTTACATAGAATTTGCATTGCATTAGGTATTTTAAAGAACCTAGAGATATTTAAAATATATGAGAGGATGTGTGTAGGTTACATGCAAATTCAACACCATTTTGAAGGTTGTTAAATAAGGGACTTAAGTATCTACAGATTTTTGTATCCACTAGGGGTGAAAAGGCATCCTGGAACCAATACCCTATGGATACCAGGGGGTGAAGGTATACACTATCTATATAAGAAGAAAAAAATTGATTTCCTAGGCAATTTGAAACATTTTTTACAGATCAGCCACAATTAACCACACAAAAAAGGAAGGTCACAGAAATAAATAAACCAGCATTTATTACAATTAGTCATAGTACAAATATTACTATCATGTCTATTTAGATGTTTACCAAACATCTTAGAAACTAAAATGTCATTCACAGTATGCATTATCCTAGCAGGTAGATTCACTAGGGCTGTTCATGGTGCCTCACTAATCAAGGAATGAAGAGCTTCTGTCATATTTATAGCTTATTTCATGAGTAATAATAAGAGAAAAAAATCAAACATGTTTGTGAAAATGATGTAGAACAGAGATAAGAGTCAATTACATAGTGTCAGGCCAATTTATTTTATTTTTTCTTTAAGATAAATTTATGAAAACTGGCAAAGTGGTATACAGAATTACTCATTACTGCTTTAGCCATACTGGCCTCCTTGCTCTTCCTTAAATCATCCAAACACACTCCTGCCTGAGGACCTTTGTAATGGAAATCCCCTTGGTCTGGACTCTTTCTCTGATGGGGACTTGGCCCACATCCTCACTTAAGACATGGCCTTGCTCAAATGCTACCCTGTCAGAAAAGTCTTTCATCTATACAAATACATGCAACAACACTTTCTTTAAGAAATTCTCCATCAATTTATATCCTTTTATTTTACTTCTCAGCATTTCTTATGCCCTAGCAAATCTGACTTTATGAGTTTAGTTTGTTGAACTACAATGCAAGCTCATGAATTACACACTGCTTTATAGTTCATTTTCTAGAAGACACACTTTTGAATAAATGTGCAAATACATAAGACAAATATGTAATCTATTGATATAAATAATTCCTAGCTCTATACAAAAATAGATTCACACAAAACATGTATAGATACTCCATAGTTAAAATGTAATTGCATTTTCTGATACAACATATTCTTGTCCCAAGGCAGCCATTGAATGAAGGACTTTTATTAATATTTTAATTAAAGATATATTTATTGTTATTGAGTGTCTGTACTATGTGCCAGATACTGGTAGTTCCAGTGGGAGATAGTTTTAAACAAGGAGTCCCAGTTTAGTCAGAAGACAATTACATTGATAATTAGATTATTATAAACTTTAAAAAATTGTCATAAAGAGAAACATTAAAATTGCTATAGATTTTGAGGATGAGGCAGAGCAAGATGGGTAAATAGAATACTGGACCAATCATCCCTCTGCAGGAACACCAAATTGAACAATTGTCTATGCAAGAAAATACCTTTATAAGAATAGAAAAATCAGGTGAATTATCTATCATAGTACCTGATTTTTCATAATAACAAGAATATATGCATTGAAGAGGGTAGGAAGGACAATTTTGCATTCCTACACCTCCCCTTACCTGATCCCAGCAAGAAGAAGGTATCTGTGTGCTTGAAGGCGAGAGAGGAAAGTGAGTGTGAAATTTTGTGTTAGAACTCTGGGCTTCCCTGTCATAGTGGAACACACACCAGGAATATTTCTGCTGTTGCCCATAAAGAAAGCATTTAGACCACATCTGGGCTAGAGGGGAATCCTCTGCCCAATGAGAGGAACTCAAGTCCCAACCTGCTTCAACACCGACTGATTAAAACGCCTCAGGGCCCTGAATAAATTTGAGTGGCAGTCAGAGCATAGCAACTCCAGTCCTGGGGTAAGCCCTGATGCTGAGCTGGTCTGGAAGGCTGTGAGTTTGTGGTGTGACTCAGTGTGACACTAGCTGAAGCAAAAGGAGGGGTTGCATTACTGCTACCCAAATTGCAGGCAGAGCAGTACAGATAGAAACTCCTTCTGCTTGGGGGAAGGAGAGAAAAGAGCATAAAGGATTTTGTCTTACAATTGGGTACCAGCACAGCAATAGTAAAATAAAGTACTGGGTGGAATCCTGAAGCCTCTGATTGTGAACATTTGATCCCACAGTGTTTCTAGACCCACTTTGGGGCTGAGGGGACTCTGCTGCCCTGGCAGGATGGACCGAATTCTAGTAAGATTCACTATATGCTGACTAAAATGGCCTTGGGACTTCAATAAACATCCTCAGTAGCCAGGCAGTAGTGGCCAAGGATTTGGGTGAGCCCTGTTGCCATGTTGGTCTGGGAGGCCATGGATTTGGGGTATTTCCAGGCACTGTGCCAGCTGTGAGGACCGCAGGAATGACTATGTCACCTCTCCCCCAAATTCATGCAGTGCAGCACAGAGGGAGACTTCCTCACTAGAGGAAGGAAAGAGAAGAGTATAGAGGACTTCGCCTTGAGGGTACCAGTTCAGCCACAGTAAAATAAAGCACCAGACAAAATCTTGAATCCCCTGATTCTGGGTGCTTGCTTCTGGATAGCATTTTTAGATCCACCTTGGGCCAGAAAAGAATCTTCTGCTATGGTAAGATGGACCAAGTCCTAGCAATATTTACCATCTGTTGATCAAAGAGGCCTGGGGCCTTGAATAAACATCAATGGCAGCCTGACAGTAGCAGTGCTACGCCTCCTTCAATTCCAGGCAGTCCCTAGTGAAGAAAGTCGTCTTCTGCTTTTGGACAAGAGAAGAAAGGAATGAGAGACTTTGCCTGGGAACCCAGGGAATGCTTCCTTATCATTCCCAAGTTCACCAACACTGTATACCAAGGACACTGCAAGAGCTATAGCATGCCTGGGCTTACGGCGCTCCCTAGTAATGAAATGGCTGCAGTGACCACAGGCTTAGGTAACAACACTCAATCCCTTTTGAGTTTGTGGAAAGCCTTTTCAAGAAGGATGGATACAAGTAAGTCAGACTACAAAGACTGGTATAAATAATTCTTCAATACTCAGAAATTGGTGGACATCCACAAGCAGCAAGAACATCCAGAAAACACGACCTCATCAAGCAGACTAAATAAGGCACCACTGACAAATCCTGGAGTAATGGAGATGTTTGACCTATCAGACAGAAAATTTAAAAATAGCTGTCTTAAGGAAGTTTGCCAAATGTCTGGATAACCTAGAGAAGAAATTTAGAAGTCTAACAGAGAAATTTAACAGAGAAATTAAAATAATTTTTAAAATATTACACAGAAATTCTGAAGCTGAGAAATTCATTGGACAAACCAAAAACTACATCAGTGTCACAACTAATTAATCAAGCACAATTATTCAAGAAGAACAAATAATTAGTGAACTCAAATACAGACCACATGAAAATAAATATTCAGAATATAAAAAATAAATAAAAATGAAAGAAATATGAAGTATGTCTACAAGATCTAGAGAATGGCCTACAAAAGGCAAATATAAGACTTATTGGCTTTAAAGAAGGTGTAGATAAAAGGATCAGGGTAAAATGTTTATTCAAATAAATAATAACAGAGAACTTTCCAAACCTAGGGGGAGATATGAATATCTAGGTACCAGAAGATTCCAACATAAATAAGACTGCCTCGGCCGGGCGCGGTGGCTCACGCCTGTAATCCCAGCACTTTGGGAGGCCGAGGCGGGTGGATCATGAGGTCAGGAGATCGAGACCATCCTGGCTAACAAGGTGAAACCCCGTCTCTACTAAAAATACAAAAAATTAGCCGGGCGCGGTGGCGGGCGCCTGTAGTCCCAGCTACTCGGGAGGCTGAGGCAGGAGAATGGCGTGAACCCGGGAAGCGGAGCTTGCTGTGAGCCGAGATTGCGCCACTGCAGTCCGCAGTCCGGCCTGGGCGACAGAGCGAGACTCCGTCTCAAAAAAAAAAAAAAAAAAAAAAAAAAAAAAAAGACTGCCTCAAAGCATATAATAATCAAACTCTCAATGGTTAAGGACAAAAAAAAAAAAAAAAAAGATCCTAAAAGCAGCAAGAGAAGAGAAACAAAGACTCTATAAAGAAGCTCCTATATGTCTGGCAGCAGACTTCTCTGTAGAAATCTTGCAAACCAGGAAGAAGTGAGATGACATTCAAAGTGCTAAAGGAAGTAAACCCAAAAACATTAAACATAGAATAGTGTGTCTAACAAAGTTGTATTTCTAATATAAAGAATAAATAAAAACTTTCTCAAACAAAAGCTGAGGAAAGTCATTAACCCCAGAGCAGTCTTACAAGAAATACTAAAGGGATCTCCCCAGCCTAAAAGAACAGGATGCTGAAGTGCAACAGGAAAATATCTGAAGGTGTAATACTCATTGGTAAAAGTAAGTAGACAAATAAAACAATGCTCCAATACTGCAATTATGGTGTGTAAACCACTCATGTCTTTCCTATGATGACTAAAAGATAAACCTATAAAAGAATAACAATAACTGCAACAATTTTTAGGAGATGGTCAATGTAAAAATATTTAAATAAAAACAAAAAAGTCAAAAAGTGAAGGGAAGGGTCTTAAAGAGTAGAGGGTTTTTTGTGGTTGTTGTTGTTTTCTTTTTGTTTTATCTTTTATTTTTAAAAAAGAAATAATAATATTTTTAACCAGTTATTTTAAACTAATGTCAACTTAACTCTGATTACAGGGCTGCTATTAGTTTAAAATAATTGGTTAAAAGTATTTTTTTGCAAGCCTCATGGTAACCACAATAAAACTAGAAACCGATAAAAAGAGGAACTTTGGGAATTGTAAAAATACATGGAAATTAAACACTGTGCTTCTGAATAACCATTGGGCCAATGACAAAATTAAGAAAATGTTTTAAAAATTTCTAAAGCAAATAAAAATGAAAACAAAATATACCAAAATCTACGAAATACAGTAAAGGTAGTACTGAGAGGGAAATTTATACTGATAAATACCTAGATCAAAAAGTAGAAAGACTACAAATAAACAACTTAATGATGCATCTTAAAAAATCAGAAAAGCAAGAGCAAAGTGAATCCAAAATTAGTAGGATAAAAGAAATAATAAAGACCAGAACAGGAATAAATGTAGTTGAGACTAAAAAGTACAAAAGATCACCGAAATCAAAAGAAAAGTTTTTGAAAGGATAAACAAAATTCAGAAAATTTTAATGAGACTAAGAAAATCGAGGAGCCCCAAAAATTACAGACAAAAAAGGAGACATTACAACTGATACCACAGAAATTTAAAGGATAATTATAGACTTTTGTAAGCAACTATACACCAACAAATTGGAAAGCCTATAAGAAACAGATAAATTTCTAAACACATACAACGTACTAAGATGTAATAATGAAGAAATTTAAAAAAAAAACAATAGCAAGTATGGGATAGAAGCATAGTAAAAAGTCTTCTATCAAAGTAAATTCCAAGACCTATTGGCTTCACTGCTGAGTTCTACCAAATATTTAAAGAACAAGTACAAATTTTACTCAAATTATTCTGAAAAATAGATGAGGAGGTAATACATCCAAATTCATTCTATGAGGCCAGTATTGCCCTGATACAAAACTATGGAATTGTAGAAAATATTTGCAAACTACAAATATCTGACAGGAGATCAGTAACTAGAATATATAAGGAACTCAATATCAATGCATATATTCATATAATTCAGTTAATTCATACGAATTAAAAATGGGCAAATGATCTCATTAGACATTTCTCAAAATAAGACTTACAAATGGCCAACAGGTGTATAAAAAATGTTCAATATCACTAATCATCAGAAAAATGCAAACAAAACTATAATGAGACATCTAACCCCAATTGAAATAGTTTTTATCTAAAAGACAAAAAATAACAAATGCTGGCAATGATTTGGAGAAAGAGAAACATTGGTACACTGTTCATTGGAGTTTAAATTAATATAACCACTATGAAAATCAGTATGGAGTTTCTTCAAAAAACGAAACATAGATTACAAAAAGATTCAGCCATTGCACTTTTGGGTGTATATCCAAAAGAAAGGAAATAAATACATCAAATATATATGTGCACTCTCACGTTTATTGTAACTCTGTTCACAATAGCCAAGATATGGAATCAACCTAAATATTCATCTAAAGATGAATGAATAAATGAAATACGGTACATATGTATAATAGAATATTATTCAGCCTAAAAAAATATTATATTATTTTATTTGCAACAATATAGATGAGGCTGGAGAATATTACGTTAAATGAAGTAAGGCAGGCACAGAAAGACAAATATCATATGTTCTCTCTCATACTGGGAAGCTAAAGAAAAAACTGATCTTGTGAAAGTAGAGGAGAATAATGGTACCAGAGGCTCAGAATGGGAGTGAGGAGGTGGGGAAAGAAGGAATTAATTAATTGATACAAAAATATAGGTAGATGGTAGGAATAATATCTGGTGTTTTCTTCCACTAGGGAAGTCATAGAATGCAAAATCCCTTTTCCCCAAAGCCAGCCATAAAAACAAAGGCTATTATTCTAACTTTCCTCCACCTTTCTACGTAAACACTGACCGCAAGTAAATTTTCTGACCAATACATGAAAATATAAAATATTACATATATTTTGAATTAAAAAACATTCAAACATAAAAATTACAACATGTTTTTAAAAACACATGTACTCATCACCTAGGTTCAACAATTTTTAGCACGTAGTAAATCTCGTTTCATTTATACCTACATTCATAACACCCATCCCACAAAAAGGTTGATGTGAAACAAATCTCAGAAAACACATTCCATCTTGTATCTTTTAGTATATAAATAAAATTTTGGTTCAGACATTTGACACATTATGATTGAAAGTAAAACATATATAGAGATCTTCCTAGTTTCCTAGATAAATATTCGCATGGCTTGTTCATTCTTTTGAAAAAGAAACATAGTACCTTAAGTTGTAACAAAAATATATTTATTATTTCCGAAGGGATCATAGAACACTATTTTTTCCCTTCTCAATATGTTTATTTAAGAATAAAGTAAATATTTAAAAGCCACTTACATTTAAATAAAGCTTATAAATTTTATAAAGTATGTGTCTTTTAGAATATGTGAAAAGTACTTTTCTTTCAAGGGACTCTAGGTTTACCCTTAAGCATTTTCCAAAAACTGGTCTGACAATTATGGACTATATTCTATTTTTTCAATATAGAGAAATGCATTAATGAGTGCATTAAGTGAAAATTATAGAATTACTGGTTTTAATAACATGGAGAACAGGATAGTATCATTGAAGTTACCAGAAAAATAACTTATATAAATATTG
The DNA here is from genome assembly GCF_000001405.40 of Homo sapiens. Classification (NCBI taxonomy): domain Eukaryota; kingdom Metazoa; phylum Chordata; class Mammalia; order Primates; family Hominidae; genus Homo; species Homo sapiens. The sequence continues at coordinate 291,332 of NW_025791779.1, forward strand.
AAAGAAAAAATGTAAAATTCTGAACCAATAGAAGAGTATATAAAATGTAAATGGCTCTACTCATCAAATTCTAAATATTCATGTAAACTATTAATCTTTTTGAAATCCAAAGGATGCAACTTTTTCTGATTATTCACACTGGATGAGAAATATGGATATTGTCATTAGTGGTCAGACATTCCATTTTTCTGGAACTGAAATAAGTCTCCTTAAAGAAGTATGTGATGTACTAAAATTAAATTATTTTAGAGGCATACAAATTTAGTATTGTAAAACAATCCTCTCCTACATTTTTTCTTTGTTTTTTTTTCTTTTAAAATTTCATGACCCTAAAACAATCCTGTCATCTAGTTTATCTTTCATGCACTTGTTCCCTTAAGTATATGTTTACTCAACACAATATATGGTCAAATATTTTCGATAATTTTCTGCCCTCCCTTCTCAATAAGCTCTGGTCACATATACACTGGCTGACAAAGATCAGTAAAATTAATTTTGAATCCAAGCCAGATTTGTCATTTTAATATTTTAACTTTCATATGAACTGTATTATCATTATAAAAATTTATCTAATTTTTTTTTCAGAAAAAGAAACCCCCTGTGTTTGCCTAATAACCTCAATATCATGTATAAAATCATTACAAATTATGTTTTCAGGGTACCAAAAAGGTGAATTTAGGATTTCTTTTGATATAAAAATATCACTAAGATATGAATCATTAAATTTGGGGAATCCACTTTCACTGGTTGACCTTTTAATTGGAATCTAGTTGAATTGGTTTTTCATGTCCCTTCAGAGTCCTGTCTGTAATGTAGGGTACTATGTGTCAACTTGAGCTTTCTGGGAAGACTAACTCCTTTGGTATAAAAATCTGAAAAATAAGTTACTATGAATATACCTTTTACTTTAATCATAGAACTCTAAAATATTAAAATCGATATGACAAAGAATCTCTCCTTAACCAACTTTGGTCAAGCCCTTCTATGCTCTTTTCTTGACAAGGCTTTGACCTTGGCTGGATCCTTCCTGGGTCTGCATAGCCCAGTTTTAGAAAGAACCTGCTAAGAAGGTTTACAGGGAATCCTGCCATGATAGCCGAAGAACCTGTAAATCTTATTAAACTCTGTCTCTGATAACTCTGCCTGCCTTCAACAAAATTTCTCTTAGGTCAGTTGAGCAACAATGTCTCTATCCTTGGTATGTCCTTTTAGTAATTTTCATCCCACCAACTTTCCCAAGCTGCTCCCTGGCCACAAATTCTCACTTGTTCTTGTATTCACAGTTGATCCCAATGCTTCTTTTCTATTGCTATAGACAGCTATCACAATAGTCCCGAATAAAGTCTTCTTTACTGCTTTAACAAGTGTCAGAAATTTTGAACATAAAGGATCTTAATCAACAGTTAATGCACACATAGAATAAAGCTATATGTTCCATTATTATTTTATTATTAATATTAGTAGTAGTATTTAGTATTCCTGTATTACACGTGTATCTCTCAAAGGTTACTGAAGAACACGTTAATGAACAAAACCAAACAAAATGCCCTCTATGAAGAAAAATTGTTAAAAATGAAGCAATAACAAATATTTTAATGTCCGGCAAGTCCTAGGCACTGTGCTAAGAACTGAGGAAATATGAACTAGTAAAACAGACCTGCAGGTGTTCAAGAGTCCTTCACATTCCACTAAATGGGACCTTATTTTCATTTCAATTTTGTTTAATTACTATTGTTCATTTTCTTAATTTTAAGTTTTCCTGACTCCATTCTAAGGATGTAAAACATCATGAGTCTTACATATAATGCCTCAGTATGCCCTCTGTGTTAACAACTCTTGCAATTGTCTGTATCTGCTGAGAGGTTAATTACTTTGGTACTTTATCTAAAGACAGGAAATTACCCATTTAGGGAAAAACCTTCCTACTTGTCTCTCTTCTAACTTTTGCTCTTACTCTCAAACTCACTTTCTACCTCTTAGCTCTTAATGATTACAAAATACAATTTAGTCAAATCAGAGTTGAAATGAAAAAAGTTTTACTTATAAATTATTTCTTCTGACAATAATATATTTTGGCCTCAGTATTCTTACTTGAGAAATGAAGAAAAATAATGACTGTTATATAGAATCATTTTAAAACCTAAATTAAGTAATATCCATAAAAGGACCTAGATACATAAGTAGGAAATAATAGGATCCCAAATAATAAAGTTATCTTTTGTTGTTATGAAGATAAAATCCTTTAAATGAATCCGAAGTCCTTATGATCAGCTTTTATTTATTTATTTATTTTTGGACAGTTTTATTATAGTGGGAAGGTGCTAGACTGAGGTTAAAAAAATTAAAAAGAGATAAAAACATATATTCTAAATGCCTAAACGCATACTGTGTCCTAGGTACTGTGTCTGCTTTTCTGTTTGTAACTTTGTGAGCTTGAACAAATAACCTATTATATCTTCATCTGTTTACTTTTATTCAAAATGAACAAGTTAAAAGCAAATTTTATGTTCTGAATAGTGTTCCATGGGACACTAACTCTACAAGATGTTAATATGGAGTATTGAGATGGAGAGAAACGAAGTTTTCCATAATCAAGTAATTTGGAGGATGACAGATTTAACCAAAGAAGTGTTTTGTTTTTCTTTTATTTTTTGATTTGAGGACAAACAGTTCAGATTACTGGCTCCCCACTTATTTGCTACCTAAAGTTGGGTAATTTGCTTATTGTAAGTCTCACTTTGGCATTAAAAAAGAAAACAAGGATTCACAGTAAACTGTTGGACAGAAAGGAAAGAATGTGATCAAATCTCTAAAGTGCAGAGAATGGGTAGAACACAGTTAACCCATAATAAATGGTAGTTGTTCTTGTTATTACTATTAATATTATTATGATTAATCTTTACCTCTTCAAAGGCATATAATATTTAAGACAAAGATTCCTTTTTTTCTCTTTTCTTCCAAAACAAATTTGCAGCTTTTCTAAGAGCAGGAGGGTAGCTTTTTAAGAATATATGAGATTTCCTCTTCTTACAATTCAAGTGTATATGTAGCATATCAGCAGGAGAAGCTGTGCAAATACTATGGGCAGCCTGGAACCATTTCTTCCCAAACATCAGTCAAGTAGGAACCCATTGCCCTAATAGCACAGAGGCAGACAGATAGCTAGTACCTTACTAGGTCTACATGAGTAATTAAAACCAATTAGTTTCACATATCTAATTGTAATATATTTTTCTCTGTACAGTTTAGTACATAAATAGGTGAATAAAAATTCATAACTGTTTAGAGAAATATTTTTACTAGAATACATAAATTTCTACTCCAATAGGAAGTATGAATATAAATGTATAAATAATTTTCATAGAATGTAAAGTATCCAATTCAACAATTCTAAAAGATGATTAACAAAATTACTTGAACAAAAGATCATCAGTGGAATACGCATATACTTCTCAGAGTGACAACATGGAAAGGAAATTAGAATACAAATGTACATAAACACATAAATATATACAAACATTGAAAGGATTTACTGTATCTCTAATTTTTATGTTTATTTATTTATTTATTTATTTTAGAGACAAAGTCTTGTTTGTCATCCAGGCTGGAGTGCAGTGGCATGATTGATCATAGCTTTCTGGAGCTTCCAATTCCTGACCTCAAGCAATCCTGCCACCTCAGCCCCCTGAGTAGCTGGGACTATGGGCATGTGCCACCATGCCCAGCTTATTTTTGCATTATTTTAAATGAAATGTTCTTAATTATATTTGATCAATAACATTTATTTTATTTAACGTCTAAATACCTTTAGCTCTTCTCTATAGCAGAATAATTCTTAAAAAGTGTATTTGCTAGCATTTAGATTCATCAAAAACAATGCTAAGCATACCCGAATGCAATGAAGAGCTGAAATTGTTTTGAGCAATGAAATCATCACTAGGCATAAGTGCCCGACACACAGATGCCTCATTTGAAGGTAAGATGACTTTGAAAGCATGAATCACATTATGTTTCTCTTAAAATAAGTTATATTTCATTTTTACATAGTAGCATGGAAAGGGCTCAGTGTGTTGGAGTGAAGTCTAAGTGATGTGAAAGCTTTCTAAAGCCTTCTGAGCAACAAACTCCTAGTATTTCAGATGAGAATGATGATATCTAATTTATAAGGTTGTTTGCTTTAAAGAATGGTAAGATATGCAAAACACCTGGCACATGACTAGTAAGCCAAATATTTCTACTTGAGCAACTGTTTAGATGGTGATGGCATTTGCTGAAATGGAAAAAAAACGGGATAAGAAACAGGTTTCGTTATTAAAAACAAGAGGTACAATTCTGCATATCTTAAATTTAATGCATTCACAGAACAACAAATCAAGATACATAACTGATTTGTTATGAAAAGAGATGAGGTTGGGCTTGGAACTATCTATTATATTAATCAATCACCATCAACAGGTAGATGATACGTAAAATATGGAATAGGATAAGATCGACTAAAGAAAATATGTAGATAAAAGACATGTAGCCCATGTTTGAGGCCTGGGAATAACCATAATTGGAGGTCAGGAGCATAAGACACCTGCCAAAGTGACTGAGAAGAAGCACACAGAAATAGACAACTAGAACCAGGAAAGTAGATTCCCAGAGAAGCCCAGAGAATGGCATGGTTCATATGAAATAAAGTGGCCAGCAATGTTAAACACTTCTGAGAGTTGAGAAAACTGGGTTGAGAAATGAATGCAATGCAGGTAAGAAAAAAAGTTTAATAATTTGGATTTGAATTTTAAAGCAATGGAGTGATAACTGGAGAATTATGATTCGTTTTTTCTTTCTTTTCTGGGCATTTTAAATTTTTGCATATTTGCTTAGCTATTTACTTGTTATTTTAAAGGAGATACATTGTAGCATATTTTCATGCTATTGAGACAACAAAGATATGGAGATTGATGACATGGAACACAGAGGAAATATCAAGGGAAAAACCTCTAGATTTTTTAAATAATGTGATTCTCAAAATTATGGGATCCACACATGTGAATTCTTACTCTGTTAGAATGAAGTACACATGTCCCTTTGGAGATATTTGTAGATTTGATAGTGGGAAAATAAATTATGTTGAGGGAGGAAGGAATTGAAAGAGTAAGAATATTGGAGGAAGCAATAGATATCTTGAAGAGTTTAAAAGCAAGCTTTAAACAAAAAATATGGTAGGTTTTCCAGAGAATATTGAAAGTGTATTTGGAGACTGAGCCCATAAATTTGAAGATGAAATCAGCTATATTATTTTCTCCAACTATTTTTACATAAGGAAATATGAAAACACAAAAGTTCAGCACATAAAAATTATTCATTCAGGCAGACATAAAGTAACATCTATGAGAATGTAATTCCAGAAAGAATGTTGAGCAACAAGAATGCTCATTCACTGTTGAAACTTACATGCAAATTACTAAGTGAAAGCAGCCAATCTGAAAGGACTACATATTGTATGAGTCCAATCATATGACATTCTGTAGGTATGTTGGTATTCTAATAAATATAGTAAAATAATGGTTGGTATGGGTTGGGTGAAGAAAGGGATGAACTGACAGAGTACGGAGGATCTTTAGGACTGTAAAACTATTATGTATTATTGTAGTCATTATACATTTATAAAAACCCATAGAATGCACAACATTAAGAGTGAATCCTAATGTCAGCTATGGACTTTGGGTGCTAATAATGCATCAATGTATGTTCACTGGTCTTAACAAACATCCCATTCTGGTGTGCAATATTGATAATGAGGAAGGCTGTGCAGGCAGGGTGGAATGGAGGAAATATATGGAAAATATCTGTACCCTCTGCTCAGTTTTGCTGTGAACCTACAATACTCTAAAAAATAAAGTCTTATTTATTTTTTTAAAAGAATTTAGATCTACACACATCTCTGTGTCACAAAGAATGGTGATGGAAGTTGGTATATTACTGACGGTTATACCCGTTTTTATAAGAGACAGAACATTTTTCAAATTTTCAGCTCTAGGTGTTTCATTTGGCACCTATTTACATTTTCTCTTTAGCTGTGTTATCAGCTGTATGATGGTCCCCACAGATGTCTATGTCCTTATCCCTAGACCCTGGGAATATTGCCTCATGTAGCAAAAGAGAATTTGAAGATATGATTTAGTTAAGGATTTGAGATGGAGAGTTATCCTGGGTTACCTGTGTAGGCCCTAAACATAATCACCCATGTCCTTATAGGAGGGAGATAAAGAGATATTTGAGATATTACAGGAGAAGGTGATATAACCTTAGGCACCGAGATTGGAGTGATGCAGCCAAGAATCAAGGGAAGCTGGCAACCTCTAGAAGTAGAAGGGGCAAGAAACACAATTTTTCTATTGCACTCAGAAGAGGCCATCCTTGTTGACACCTTTACTTAAGTCTGAAGATAATAATTTCAGATAAATGATCCTTCAGAACTATAACACAATAAATCTATGTTGTTTTGAGGCACTGAACCTTTGGCAATTTGTTACAACAGCAATAAAAACAAATATAAGTTTTCTTAGCTGTTCTCTTATTATACCACGTTTCTCTTAAATTCTTTCAATTTTGTAAGTATTTATATGTGAAATTCAAAACCTGAGGGCATGCAGAGTCATTGTCTATTGACTACCTTTTTCTGATTTATTATTTATTTACTTTTTTTTTGAAATAGGGTCTTGCTGTGTTGTCCAGGCGAGAGTGCAGTGGTGTGATCCCAGCTGATTGAAGCCTCAACCTGGCCGGGTGCAGTGGCTCACGCCTGTAATCCCAGCACTCTCGGAGGCCGAGGAGGGCGGATCACAAGGTCAGGAGATGGAGACCATCCTGGCTAACACAGTGAAACCCCATCTCTACTAAAAACGCAAAAAATTAGCCGGGCATGGTGGCACGTGCCTGTAGTCCCAGCTACTCAGGATGCTGAGGCAAGAGAATCACTTGAACATGGGAGGTGGAAGTTGTAGTGAGCCCAGATGGTGCCACTGCATTCCAGCCTGGGCGACAGAGCGAGACTCAACCTCTTGAGCTCAAGCCATTCTACAGTCTCAGCTTCCCAATTAGCTGGGACTACAGGTGCGTGCCACTATACCCAGTGAATATTTTGTATTTTTGTAGAGATGGGGGTTTCACCATGTTGCCCAGGTTTGTCTTGAACTCCTGGACTTAAGCGATCTGCCTGTCTCGGCCTCCAAATTGCAGGGATTACAGGTGTGAGCCACCATACCTGGCCTTTTTCTGATTATAAGTGATAATTTCTGTATCTTTTCATGTCTAACATTTTCTGGTGGAAAACTGAACATTGTAGACAGCAAGAATGTTGATGACTCTGGGTTCTATTTCTCTGTGAACAGTTGTATTTTGTTACACTAGACGTGAAATTGAATGGTCTCATCCGGAATCTTTTTATCCTGTCATGTACAAGAACTGTTGTCTCTATGTGGCTAATTTGACTTCATTTTAGACCTCACTTTGTGTGGATTGCCCCTGCAACGTCTCAGTCTACTAGTAATTTAAGGATTTGGGTAGACTTTCAGACTTTCCAATACAGACCTTCTTAGTTCTTTACAAGAACTAAGAACAGCCCTTTGACATCTCAATCAGGAACACATCTACTGTGTTGCCACCTGTTTTGTGCATTGGTTTATGTCCACTTTTCAACCAGGCTTCTGGTGTCTCATGCAAAATGCAAAATATAACAGTCAGACAGAAATTGGAATAGAGTTTATACTCTAATTTTGAATCTCAAACTGTCTGTGGCTGTCTGACTTCCAGAATGTTCCAGCCATATCCTATGGCTCAGCTGCTCTGAACTCCATCATCTACCACTGGAACTTATAAGGTTACAGTTTGCCACCTGAGGGAAGTCTTGTACATAGCACACACCTGATATACTAGCAATCTTTCAACACTAAATTCTTTTCATATTTTGCCCTCTGGCCATTTTCAGAGTGCTTCAAGTATCTGTTTTAAGTACATTTTTCCAATTTTAATTGTCTTCTACAGGAATAATCACCTAGTCTCTTCGTGTCCCATTAACAGATAATTTCTACCAACTTTTACAAATGTATTTAATGGTATTGCTGACATAAATTTTAAAATAAGGTCATATATTTTAAGATTAACAAAATTATTATTACCTTAATACCACTATTACCAAAAAGAGTTAGTCATCTTAAATATGTAAGGATATTAACAACTAGTGTAAACTATTTACCAGCATAAAATTTATGAACACTATTTGTAATATATTATATAATCTATTTTGCCGGAAAATTGTATTTATGTAAAGGCAAAAAAAAAAGTAGGGTTTAAACAACAAAAACAACACCTAAAATTCTACTATTAATTTTACACCACTGACAGCTAGATTTTGCAACTAATTTTTCAGACAGGTAGACTTTCTTCATAAAAAGCAATCACCAATGAGAAGGTTACATAGTTCACTCATATCCAGGAACTTAATCTGTTTAGTAACCTTAGACTCACTTACTCAATTATTCTCAGTCATGAGTCGCAATGGGATGACTTCCCACCAGCCTCCAGATGCTATAATTATATTTATCTTCTTTACATCTAATTACATAGCATACTATTTTACTTTCCCACTGTTCATTAAAAAAATTTCTAGCTGTGGCATACTGAATGCCTTAGAGAATAAAGAGATGTTAATAGTCCTAAAGATGTATTTCTGGACTTCTAGCATTTACTCAAATTAACATGCTTTCATGATGATATGGTATTTAATGTAGCCCACTATTGGCAAGAAATAAATAGTATTAGTCAATTGTACTTCAATCAAATGGGTAAATTAATGGTATTTTTGGTATTCTTAGTCATGCCTCTTACAAAGGTGTAGAGTAAGTCCTACTAAAACGTAAAGAAATAGTTGATACATTTTTGTCACAACCCCAAATAGACACAAACTTTTTTCAATTATTGTGTTTGAGATTCAAAAGGAGATAGAATAAAGGAATGACTTAATATGTTTGAGACCTCAAGTTCTTTATTTCAAATGAAAATCAGGAAACTACTGCTCCTTTCCTTTCCATTTTAAACACTTTAATTTTGATCCTCTTAGTTCATATAATAGTATGTTGTTTATAAAACAAACCCACAATTTGAAAAATATAAAATATCATGTTTTAATAAGTCATGTGATCTCAATAATTTACATATTTGAATTCTTTTTTTATTAAATCCATTGTGAGTTAAATATCTTAAATCTAGATTTATGACACCTACAATAATGGTTTTTACTGAATTAAATAAAATGCATATGTATTGTTATATTACATAACCAAATAGCAATAGATTAAAAAGTAATCACTTTATGCCTATGTACACACTATAAGTGGAATTACACATAGTAACATATCTGTATTTAGAATATATTGAGAATTTACAATGATATAATAGCAGCTCAGTTAGCTAATCTTCACAAACTGTGTGTATAACACTATACATATATTTAAAGAGAATAAGGTTTGCTAATGCATTCAAGTCTACTCATTGCAGCACTGCTCTGCTATTTTCTAATTTTTATTTAACATATCAGGTAAATTACCTAGAAATTCTAATACTGTTGAAAGCTTCATATAGACCTCTCAAGGTACCCCTTACTTCCTATTGCTCCTAGACTCAATCACTTTCAAACCATTCAGCTATTTTAAGTAGCTTTCCCCCCCATTCATATTTATTTTGTTCTCTTGACTCAGTTTTATATTTAACATTTTTTAATTATAGCAGTAAATATTTTAGTTCAAATAGGATGAGCCCGATTTTCATTTTTATTAATTTGTAGAGCACAAGAGAACTGATTAAAATCTTTATCCCAGTGTGTTGTTGTCGGGGGTGCAGGTGGAGGTGCTGAGAGTATACTTTTTTTTTTCTTTTCCAATATAAGGCATTTAGTTATTCTATCAGGTTCAGTGTAGATAATGGAAATCCATTCATATATACAAAGGGATTTACAGAAATTAGGTACTTAATATCGTGTTTGAAGGTCTAGAGAAAAAGAGGGCAGCTTCATATTTTAGATGGTTTAGTTCAAAGAACATGGTAATAACTGCAATATATGTATCAGAAACTCCTTGCTGATGTCACAACAAATTTGCACATCTATGCTGATGGTGATTACACACTCTGCCTCCAGATCAGAAGGCTATAACATATTCTCAACAATTATATTTTATCACTAACATTGTCCATATGGCATAAACACCAGAAAGATAATTTCCACCTTATTTCCACTTTCCAAATTTTAGTAAATCTTGAAGTCAAATTTTAATTCAGAACCTTATCTACCAGGAAACCTGAGGAATGTGATTTTTAATTGTATGAGAAGAAAACAGATACACACTATTTTACACAGGTAAAATTCTACAGATAAATGTTGCTGTAAGAAAACCCAAGGTATTATTTATTGATCTTTTCTCTTGAGCAATTTAGAACATTCTGAAACATCCTCAAAATTCTTGACTACAAAGCTTCAGTCTTGTGTAGGGTAAGATAGTTTTGTTGTTGTTGTTGTTGTTTAACCAATCTTTCAAGGACGCTTCATTCTTATTTTCATTTTTTTTTTTTTTTTTTTTTTTTTTTTGAGACAGAGTCTCGCTCTGTCGCCCAGGCTGGAGTGCAGTGGCGCGATCTCAGCTCACTGCAAGCTCCACCTCCCGGGTTCCCACCATTCTCCTGCCTCAGCCTCCTGAGTAGCTGGGGCTACAGGCTCCCGCTACCACGCCCGGCTAATTTTTTGTATTTTTTGTAGAGACGGGGTTTCACCGTGTTAGCTAGGATGGTCTCGATCTCCTGCCCTCGTGATCCGCCCGCCTCGGCCTCCCAAAGTGCTGGGATTACAGGTGTGAGCCACCGCGCCCTACCCATTCTTATTTTCATAATGACAGATTAAGTGTGTTTTCTCAGAGCCTTCCTTTTTTCCAGAACATCAAAGTCTACTCGCTTGCTCAGTAGAGAAGTTTTTCCTCACTCAATTGTACAAGATTTAAGTGTGACTATAAAGGTCAACTTTCAGGCTCTTTCAAAAATCTCTCCTTTTCCACTACTACACTCTCCTTATCTCCATTTTCTATGGTGCATTATTCTTCCAATTGCTGAAACATTACCCAG